>NC_000001.11:242396242-242547757 GCF_000001405.40 Homo sapiens
GCATTGTAGGATGCTGAGCAGCATCTCTGGCTAGAAAGACCTATTAAATAACTAGAGAGCCAACTATTTTTAATGGGTGAGAAAAAATTGTTGGACACTGGATGGTCAATAATGGAAATGTCTACAAAGAATAATGTTTATAAAAGAAATGCCCTCCTGACCCCACTTTGCCCTCCAGCTACCATCTCATTTCTTTCCTTCCCTTCACAGTAACTATTTCAAAACATTTTTCTGCATTCCCTGTCTCCAGTTCCCACTACTCCATGGAAGGAGTGTCAAGGGTGTCAAGGTTATGAACAACCTCTGTGTGCTGCTAACTCAGCTCCCAATCCTCACCTTACTTGACCTATCAGTGGCATCACTTCTCACACTTTGAAAATTTGTCTTTAGTTGGAAGCCAGCATGCTATTTTCTTTCTTTCTTTTCTTTTCTTTTTTTTTTTTTTTTTTGAGACGGAGTCTCACTCTGTCACCAGGCTGGAGTGCAGTGGCGTAATCTTGGCTCACTGCAACCTCCACCTCCACCACCTGGGTTCAAGCGATTCTCCTGCCTCAGCCTCTCCTAGTTGCTGGGACTACAGATGTGTGCCACCAAGCCCAGCTAATTTTTGTATTTTTAGCAGAGATGGGGTTTCACCATATTGGCCAGGATGGTCTCGATATCTTGACCTTGTGATCCGCCCGCCTCAGCCTCCCAAAGTGCTGGGATTACAGGCGTGAGCTACCACCCCTGGTTCTATTTTCTTTCTTACTCTCTGGCCCCTCTTTTTCAGTCTCCTTTGTTAGTTTCTATTCTCTTTTATATAGCTACATGTTGAGTGTCCCAAGAATCAGCCTTTGGACCTCTTCTTTTTCCTAGATCTACCAATCGTCTCACCTAATATCATTATTTTAAATACCACTAAACCCTGACAATTTTGACATTTTTATCTCTACATAGACCTCGTTGGACCCTTCCTCTGAAACTCTAGACTTACATAGCCAAATGGGTATCTACTAGACACCTCGAACTTTACATGACTCTTCCTCCCATAGGCTTCTTGGTTGATGGCAACTCCATCCTTCTGCTGCTTGAATTATCCTTGACTTCTGTTTTTTTTCTTTGTTTTTTTTTTCCTCATATTTTCTGGTCAAGTCCTAACTGCTCTAACTTCAAAATACACTCAGTATTTAACCATTTTTTATTATCTCCACTGCTATTAACTTAGTCCTAATCACCATTATTAGAGAAAAAATGTGAAGCAGCAAGCCGTAGAACCTGTTGATAGATTAAAAAAACTAAGAACAGCAATCTCCATAAGGCTCAACGCATGCAAAACATCGAGGATATGTTCTCTGTTTCAATAGGGATAAGAGAAAAACAGATCCTGCTAATAGGTAGGACCAAGGCTTAGGAGGTAGAATGTCTTTCTACAGCAATGTACTCCCTCACTCCCTACCTAGTTACTTTAAGACTATTCTATATCTCTATTACATTCTAATATCATCTCCTGTGGGAATTCTTCCTGGAGCTTCTTAGCACGTCTTTTTCTTCTTCTTCTTCTTTTTTTTTTTTTTGGTAGCCTCAACATCTCTCAGAGTTCCTAGAACACAGCAGGAATGTATATGAATATTTACACTAAAAAGGGAGAAACACATTGGAAAGTATAAGCCAGTGCTTCTGATACTCACTTCAAATCACTCTAGAGGCTTGACAATGGCTTGACAAGTTACATTAGAAACATGAAAGAAAAAAGTCCCAGTCACAGATATAGTTAAACTTGAACACCTTTCCTGAGAAACATTTCGAAGTGTCTTTTCCAAACTAGGGCTTTCCTATTAATTGCAGAAAGCAAAGATAGATTAAAAGGAAATAGCAATAAATAAGGCCACATAAAGAAAGTCCAAATAAGATGTGAGGGGAGGTCAGAAAGATCAGCTGAGAACTTACTATGTGTTTATATCCTAAGTGTATTGAGGTCCCAGCAATACAGCACTTGTGAGTACAACCTAGACATACAGATTATCATATGCAGGCCAAGGGAAGAACATTAACATTCTGTTCCACAGACTCAGTAGAGCTCACATATACCAAACTCGTAAGGTTGAATCGTCTCGCTGTTCAATCAAAAATCTTGAAGTGTTTCATAACAGAAGCAAGTTTTATCTGCTGAAAATACAGACATCTTATTGAAAACAACTCCATTATGATCACTCAGCCTATGGCAAGTAAAAAATGTGCTTTATCCTCTTCCACAAAACCTTCATAACCACCTCCAGCATAGGCTGACGTCTTTCTCCACAATTCTCTTTACACAATTTGGCTATTGTTTGTGCAAACTCTTGTATTGTAATCATAGATACCACGGTTTAGTGGAAAAAAACAGACTTGGGAGTTTTGACTTTAAGGTTTAAATTCTTGTTATATTAGCTTTGCGACCTTGAACTTAGTCACTTAACTCTATTGATCTTACCAGTACAACGAGGAGAATAATACCTAACTCTCAAAATTGCCGTCAGAAGAAAATATGCAAAAGCCTTTTGCGAACTTCCAGCGTTGCAAAAATGCTAGTTATTAAAACGTCAGACTTGAGAGATCTCCAAATTTTTGTAGACATGGCATGTCACAGAAAGATCGGGTGAAAGGCACTGAAATTTCTATACAGTCATAGGATATAATTTTAAGGATTGAAGTTGTCCAAAATTCTAACAGGAGAGCTAGGGACATAGTGAGCCCCCTCTCTAACAGGGATCAATCCAAGGAAGATGACACCATTGGGGGAAGCTGTAAAAAGGGCCACATGAGTTGAACAAGAAGTGAAGTGACCGCACCCTAAGGCTCCTTCCAGTCTTAAGTTTCTGTGTGCATTTTCTTTTCTCACGTAGCTAACCCTTCGCTCAATAATTAATGTGCAAGATGAAAAAACAAGACTGTGCACACTATTTATTTGCATTCCTCACATGCTCAGTCCTGTATTCTACACATAGTAGGGGCTCAATACACATTGGTTGATTGATTGGGAAAAGCTGTAATAAGTGTCACTGTACCAGAGGTTTTCTCAGCGTGAGTAGAGAGAATTTATATAAAAACAAATAACGAAATCTCATGCATTCAACATAAACATGATCAAATCCAATTTATGCTTGAAAAAGATGTTGGCACTCACTTTTCTATGTCTTGGGAATGCTTCCAAGTAAATGCATTCTGGACAAAAGCACATGACATAATGAAGAAAATGCCGGATATGTAAAATTAAGCAAGCGTATTCATTCTTTCCTAGGAGTAGCTGCAGTGTTTCTAGAGAATAAAGTCATATTTTGTCTCAAAACACATTTTGATCCTTATAAAACAAAGAATTCTTCTTGATTAGGTTTAACAGTTGCCTTTGGGCCTTGGGAGGGAGAGAAACAGAGGCTAAGCATTAAAAAAAAAAGAATTGATTATATCGGGGGTCCCCAATCCCCGGGCTGCAAACTATTATGGTACCAATGGCCTATTAGGAACTGAGCCCCACAGTAGGAGGTGAGTGACGGCCAGCCAGCATCACCTCCTGAGCTCCGCCTCCTGTCAGAGCAGCAGCAGCATTACATTACCACGGGAGCGCAAACCCTACTGTGAACTGTGTAGGCGAGGGATCTAGGCTGCGTGCTCCTTATGAGATTCTAGGCCTGGCGTGGTGGCTCACGCCTGTAATCCCAGCACTTTGGGAGGCTGAGGATGGTGGATCACTTGAGGTCAGGAGTTCAAGACCAGCCTGACCAACATGGAGAAACCCAGTCTCTACTAAAAATACAAAATCAGCCGGGCTTGGTGGCAGGCGCCTGTAATCTCAGCTACTTGGCAGCGTGAGGCAGGAGAACCACTTAAACCCAGGAGGCAGAGGTTGCAGTGAGCTGAGATGGTGCCATTGCACTCCAGCCTGAGCGACAAGAGTACAAGAGTGAAACTCTCTCTCTCAAAAGAAAAGAAAAAAAAAAAAGAATCTAACTGATCTGAAGTGGAACAGTTTCATCCCCAAACCATCCCCTTCCCACCCACCCCCACCCCCAGTTTTGTGGAAAAATTGTTTTTCATGAAACCAGTCCCTGGTGCAAAAAAGGCTGGGAATTGCTGGATTATGTGGTTTGTTTAATATATAGTGAATATCCCACTATTCAGGCTTAAGGAAGGACAAAAATGAAGAAACTCATGGTACCTCCTCTGATGAAAAGCAAACTTTTCAAAAGGCCTCAATTATGCAAAGAGTAAATGCATAGTCTCTGATCTCAGGGACCCCACACTCTAGATAAGGAGATTAAAATTCAGTTATTGATCAAGTACCTACTATATACCAAGTCTATTTTGTATTTATACACAAAAGCCTCTTGCCATCCCATACATTGAAAGCTATTATCATTACTATTTTCCAGATAAGGAGCTTGAAGCTTAGGGAGGGAGTGGCCCAGCACGGACCTAAATCCAAGGTTCTCTGATTCCAAGTCCCGGGATCTTTTCCCACCACCCGCCTGCTTTTCCAGCCCCCAAGAACCTCCTGCCAATTATATGCCCATGTGCATAAGCTTTCTCTGCACATGGGACAAAAAATGGACATAGGCAAAGCATGAGCCTTGAGAGAAGACACATTATGGAACAGGAAGAATTCCTGGAGTGAGTAAAAGCCACAGAGTACAAATAGAATGAAAGAACCAGTCCTGTAGCTTTAAGTATCACCCACATGCCAATAATGGCTAAATTTTTATTTCTGGCCCTGGCCCCTCCTCTGAGCCCTGGACTGTTCTAACTGCCCACTGAACATCACCACTCCAGGGTCTAATAAGCATCGCAAACACATGGGCAAAGCACCATCCTTGAGACTTCCCCAAATTCTGTTCTTCCTCCCATTGTCCCCATCCCAGTTAATGGTGCCAGCATTCCTCCTGCCAGAGCCCCAAGCCTAGGCATGATCTTCGATTCTTCTCTGTCTCTTCTACTCACATCAATTCCATTATTGGTCCCCATCAGCAGTACCTCCAAAACGTATTCCAAAAGTGCTCCACCCCTCTCCACTCCTTGCACTGGCAGGCTCAGCCAAGCCCACCCCTCATTCTTAATCAGATAGTTGCAACAGCCTTCTGTGTCCACTCTCACCACCTGCAGCGTATTGCCCACCCAGAAGCCCGAGTGGTCTTCTGTAACAAGAAACAGGATCATGTGGACCCCTCCCCTTCCTTCACAGACTTCCCATCATACTTGGGATTAAACACAGAATCCTTCCTGTGGCCTGTGAGGGCCGCCGGGACCCCACCTCTGCTGACTCTCCAAGCCCACATCCTGTAATGTTTTCCCACCTCAGCATTCTTCAGCCACATGAGAGATGTGATGTGATGTGACCTCACCTAGACATTAGGTGGTGTGCTCAGGCCCCACACTTTTCTTCTATCTGGAGTTCTGTCCTTTCAGACCCTCACACTTCACTGTTCTGATCTCTGCTCAAATGTCACCTCCTCGGAGAAGCTACCCTTGACAGTCCTGTCTAAAATGAAGATGTCCCTGCACTCTCTGCCCCTGGTCTGTTCCATAGCTGTTATTGGTTTCAATGCTTGCATTGTCCTATCCACTCCATCCTCCTGCTGGTAGAGGCCTTGAGGACAGGGACCCTGCTTGTCCTGTTCATCTGTGCATTTCCGATAACTAGAGTGTCTTCTGGCACATAGGGCTATTCAGTAAACATTTGTTGAATGAATGAATGAGGTTGGAGTCATGTTCTAAGGTCAAAGGAAAGGAACATATTTGCTTTCCACATAGAATATTCTCCCACCCCGGCTTCCGCCTGCACCATGCTTCTGTTCTTCCAAGGCCTTAGCACTCTCCCCTGCTATCAGTGTTGCTGAGAAAATGACTAAGAGATTTCAAGCCCATTCATGCCGAGAGAATGATATGGAATACATTTCAGGCACAAGGTTAGTCAATTATGTTTGTGACAGGATAACTGTAAGATGTAATTTAGATAAACTAGAGAATAAATGGAACAAATAAGATTATTCACAGTTTTATCACTTCCACCAGAAAAAATAGAACAAGTAAGACACTTTTTATTTTTTTGCATGAATCTTTACCACATTGACCTTCACTGCATTAATGAGAAGTTTTCCAAAGAGGTATTTTTATGATTTCTTGTGCATTATAAAAACATGGAAAAATAAAGAGTTATAAGGAAAATGATTATAGATGTCAAGGTAGCTCTATCTCCATAACACTAAAGGAAATAATTTAAAATAAGGGTAATTAAATGAACTATATGGTTGCCTACCTTATACAATATTTACTAATTCATCAGAAGCTTAATAGGGTTAGCTTATTATTCAGCTGGCTATAGAGAAATGCAGGATTTTGTTGGTACTATTCTATAAAATGAATTTAATGTGTCTATGAAAGCTACACCTTCATTTGCTATGCTCACATAATTTTTCTCTACAACCAGTATTTTGTTTTCTAATGTCCAAATGCATTTTTCCTTCTAACATGAAGGTGCTCAAAGGAAGTTTATCTTAAAAGTGAAAAACAGCACTGCATATGGTAAGCAGTGAATAGAAGACTGGAAAACATGAAAGTGAATATAATTCCTATGTATAAACTAAAAAGCTTATAATAATTGGCAAATAGATATAGAATCCTTTAAGAACCAAAAACAGTGCTAGAAGCTAGAAGTAATTTACTGCAGCAATAAATCACACAGTGACAACTAAAAACAACAGGAGAAAAAAATTAAAGTCTCTATTTTCCCAGCATTTCTATTGCAGAACCTTGGAAACCTCCTTCCATCCTACCTACTCAATCAAACCTTTTAGCGCCAGCCTGAGAAACAGAAAACATGTGGAGGTTAGTTTTTCTTTCGGAAAGATGCTTAATCATCCCTTTCGGTGAGGCGGTGCCTTTGGCATGGTTCCGTACTGGACATTACCAGGTCAGATGGTCACTTGCCAGGGGTGCAGAAGGTCCTCTGCAGCACACTCTAGGGCTGTCTCACCTGCTCTACAGCTCTGGTTTTGGCTGTGTTTATTGAGGCCAGGTCTGCATGAACTTTGACTTCCTCTCTGTTGACAGCATCTCCCCAGGTGTCTTTTGCTTTCTCCCCAGAGAACCTTCCCTGCAAGCACACAGGCGCAAGCCAGAATTGGGGGGTCATCAATACCTACAGGGGCAGCTCTCCATCTAAGGAGACAGGCGGCAGTGGCTTCAAGCTTCTCCCCATCAGTTCTTGGATAGGCTTTTTTTTTTTTTTTTTAAGATATCTCGCTCCGTCATCCAGGCTGGAGTGCAATGGCACGATCTTGGCTCACTGCAACCTCCACCTCCCAGGTTCAAGCAATTCTCCTGCCTCAGCCTCCCCAGTAGCTGGGATTACAGGCATCCATCACCAGGCCTGGGTAATTTTTTGTATTTTTTTTTTAGAGACAGAGTTTCACCATGTTGGCCAGGCTGGTCTCGAACCCTTGACCTCAAGTGATCCGCCCGCCTTGGCCTGGATAGGCTATTTTGAGAGGCCTCCCACATGTCTGGAAGCTCCTGGGTGTGAATGAGCCCCATCTGGTCACAGTGGGACCCTCAGTAACATTCAATGGAAGGGCTTTTCCTCCTTTTCTGCCTCTTCTCAATCCCTTCCTCAGTGTGAGTTTGAACTAGATGAACTCTGAGGTTCCTTCCAATTCTATGTATTATAAAAATAATACACAAACCACATTCCAGAGGTGGAATCTAGCATCCCCCACCTCACTTGGCTTCGGAAAAAATTCCAGAAGTGGAGTAGTTGGTCAATCCTATTTCTGGACTGCCTGTAAATAGCAGGCCTTATGCCAGTGCTGGAGATAGAGCTGTGGGCAACAGAAACCGGTCCCTGCCCACATGGAGCTCACTGTCTAGAGAGGAGAGGGACAGGAAACCAATGTTTATAAAGAGGTCAAAATTTAACACATGCCGAGTACCTCACGAAGTAGCAGATGCTATGAAAGAATAAAACAGGGGGACCTAAACTATTTCTGGGGTGTGGAGAGAGGTCATGGAAGGTTTTCCTGATGAAGCTATTTTTAAGACCTTAAGAAAAAGGGTAGATGAAGAAAGATGGGAAGCACTTACCAGGTGGGAGGATTAACCCATGAGATAACCTGAGATGAGAAAGAGCATGGCACATCCAAGGTACTAGGAACATCAATCATTTTCAGTTCTCATCAAATGCACAGAATCTGTCAGACATTAACTACGAGCGTTTCTAGCTGGCTTCCATGTAGTGACAGTTGTTCACACTACGCCAGACAGGAGGTAGGGAGGGGTGGGGGATCAAGTTGGCATTTCTGATCATCCTCATCAACTCTTCCAAACGTGACTTCTCCATCCTCATAGACAGTTTCCTTAGTTGCTCATGGCACCGCTTTATCCACATTTGTCCTAACCCTTGCCAGCCCTCACTCTAGTTACTCTCACACACACTTTGTTTTAACATCATTTTGGAATCTTTCCTTTTACTCACCTGACTCCACATACACTCACACACACACTCTCCCATAATTCAGTTTCCAAACCCCTAATATCTATGACTCCCACCCTTCTTCCATCAGACCTTTATCTGATTATTGCAATTGCTCTATGTGGATCCATGCCTCTTATCTGTTCCCTGCTAATTTTTTTTTTTTTTTTTTTTTTGAGATGTAGTCTCACTCTGTCAACCAGGCTGGAATGCAGTGGCGTGATCTTGGCTCACTGCAACCTCCACCTCCCGGGTTCAAGCAATTCTCCTGCCTCAGCCTCCTGAGTAACTGGGATTACAGGTGTGCACCACCACACCTGGCTAAATGTTTGTATTTTAAATAGAGATGGAGTTTCACCAAGTTGACCAGGCTGGTCTTGAACTCCTGACCTCCAGTGATTCACCTGCCTTGGCCTCCCAAAGTGAATGAGCCACCTCGCCTGGCCCTCTGCTAATCCATTTGCTACCAGAGCAAATCTGATATTCTCCCATGAACAGCCTCCATGCTTTCCCGTGGTTTTCAAGGTTGTATTCAAATCCCTTATGTTAGTGATTCCCAGCTAGGACGATTTTCCCACCCCTCCCTCCAGGGACATTTGGCAATGTCTGAGGCATTTCTGGTCATTAACAACTGTCGGAGGTAGCGGCTAGCATTCAGTGGGTAGAGGCCAGGGATGCTGCTCATCATCCTACAATGCACAGGATAGCACCCAGGACAAAGCTCATTTGGCTCAAAATGTGAATAGTGTAGAAGCGGCTCTTCCACATCTGGTCCTGCCCATCACTTTCAGCTCACTCTCTGCTATTTCATCCCAGACACCTTTTTCTCCAGTCATGAGGAACTGTTACGTTGCACCATATGAAACTGCCAATATTTGATACTTTTTTTTTTTTTTTGAGATGGAGTTTCACTCTTATTGCCCAGGCTGGAGTGCAATGGCACAATCTCGCCTCACTGCAACCTCTGCCTATAAGGTTCAAGCAATTCTCCTGCCTCAGCCTCCCAAGTAGCTGGGATTAGAGGCACCCACTACCACACCTTGCTAATTTTTGTATTTTTAGTAGAGACAGGGTTTCTCCATGTTGGTCAAGCTGGGCTCAAACTCCTGACCTCAGGTGATCTGCCCACCTCAGCCTCCCAAAGTGCTGGGATTACAGGTGTGAGCCACTGAGCCTGGCCCTATATGATACTTTTGACCTAAAAAAAAATCTAGCAATTTTACAGTTTCACATGATTGAGCAAAATGGCTGTAGTTTCTCAGCTGCAATTGTGTTTCTCTGTCCAAAATGCACTCTTCTCTCACTGCTTTCTTTTATTCATCTCCCAAAACCCAGGTAAAGCCTCACATTCCAAACAGCCCTACCATGAGTTGCAAGAATGACATACAAACCTGTCCTCTGCTCCCACAGCATCCTTTCCCTATGCATCACACCCTCCCAGGGACAGCTGCTACTCAGGTCTGAACAGTAAGTGACTCAATGCCAGGTGTCATGTCTCCATTTTCTCTGTCTACCCAGGGTTTGTCACAGAGCCTGGCCGCTGGAGGCTGCTGCATAAATTACTATGCAAGGAATGAGAAAATGAACAAACTCCCCTATTTCAATCCCCGGTTGCTTCCATGTCTCCACTAAGAGAGCTAACAGCAGTAAGGCATTTAGTGAGGCACTCAGAAATGTCTACCAATATAACTATGCCCAAGAAAACAATCAACACTTCTCAAAGGCTAATGAAAAATTTACTTCCTATATACAACCAGCAATTCTGTGGATCCCTAAAGGTTGATCCGTCACTAGGCATGTGTTAAATAGAATAAACCAACCATCTGTGGTCCAGGTTTCTTACTGACTACCAAGGAAGCTTTTGATAAACAAGCTAGGAAAACCTGGAAAAGTTGCAGAGAAACCAGCTCTGACATTAGTTCTGAGAGAAATGCTCAGTTTCATCAAGATTTTAGACAAACACTAACTTCCTCCAGAATAGTGTTTAAAACTATTTCTGAATTGAGAACTTGATGCAATTTAAAATTAAGATGTATTTTATAACATTTAACCATGAATATTGAACTAGGATTAGAAAAATACTCAGAAGGTCGTCCTGGTTAGCTATCAAATAAAAGAGCCTTCAATTAGCCATTAGTAGACTATAAGAGGACTTTCAAATTGGAACAGGCATTTAACAGAGGTATGAATTGTTAGGTTTTTGGTTCTGTAGGGGTAAGAGGGGAAATTGCCTACTTTTTGTTTCTGCAATGACTTTAAAGTTTCTCAAGGAATATATTGATATGGTTTGGCTGTGTCCCCATCCAAATCTGATCTTGAATTTTATGTAGCTCTTATAATTCCCATGTCTTGTGGGAGGGACCTGGTAGGAGGTAATTGAACCCTGGGGGCGGGTCTTTCTCATGATAGTGAGTAAGTCTCATGAGATCTGATGGTTTTATAAAGGGGAGTTTCCCTGCACAAGCTTTTTTTACCTGCCACCATGTAAGACGTGACTTTGCTCCTCCTTCATTTTCCGTCACGATGGTGAGGCCTCCCCTCAGTTCACCACGTGGAACTGTGAGTCCATTAAACCTCTTTCCTTTATAAATTACCCAGTCTTGGGTATGTCTTTATTAGCAGTGTAAGAATGGACTAATACATATATCAATACATCCTTCTTTTTAAACACAGCACTGAAGTATAATCTATTATAGTCTATACAAAAATTCCTCCTATCCCTCTGACTATGCTCCAGAGGTAATCATGACTAACAGTCTGCCATACTTCTGTAGAGATCTCCATGCATTTTTATACACACATATACACAAATACATAGTTTTTTTGTTGTGGTTGTTTTGTTTTTTTTTTTTTTTTTTGAGACGGAGTTTTGCTCTGTCACCCAGTTTTGCTCTGTCACCCAGACTGGAGTGCAGTGGGGCAATCTCAGCTCACTGCAACCTCTGCCTATGGGGCTCAAGCGATTCTCCTGCTCAGCCTCCTGAGTAGCTGGGATTATAGGTGCGTGCCACCACACCTGGCTAATTTTTGTATTTTTAGTAGAGATGGAGTTTCACCATGGTGGTCAGGATGGTCTCAAACTCCTGACCTCATGATCCACCCACCTCAGTCTCCCAAAGTGCTGGGATTACAGGTGTGAGCCACTGAGCCCAGCCAAATATACAGATTTTAAAGACAAAAGGGAAGCAAAGAATACATATTTTTGCTGCTTGCTTTCTTACTTAATAAGTCTTTGAGATTCTTCTACATCACTGCACGTAGCTATTAATATTTTTTATTTTTTTAATAGCTGAAAGCTACTTCAAAGTAAATGGGTCTTCATAATTTCTTTTCATGATCAAAACACTTAAAAATAAAATAAACTTTCTCCAGTGACTAACTTATCCTATGAATGTATTTAAAAGCATACATTGTGTGGAAGCTAGAAATCCTGCTGTTTTTACTAGAGGAGGAATAATGTGCCTTGATGAAGGATTATTTAGTGGACTTGTCCTTGGACAGGTTCCAGAGAAGGTGGAATGAAAGACAGAGTAAGTTCTGCAGTCAACAAGATTTTCCTGGCAGAGAAAGGTGTTAATAATTATGGAGACTAGTTAGAAAAACAATGGTGTTCCTGTTGATATGGTTTGGAGGTTTGTCCCCTCCAAATCTCAGGTTGAAATGTGATTCCTGATGGTGGAAGTAGGGCCTGGTGGGAGATGTTTGCATCATGGAACTGATCTCTCATGAATGGTTTAGCACCATCCTGTTGGTGATGAGTGAGTTCTCTGAGTTTGTGCAACATCTGGTTATTTGAAAGTGTGTGGCACCTCCCCTCATTGCTCTCTCGTTCCTGCTCTTGCCATGTGACACACCTGCTCCTTCTTCACATTCCTCCATGACTGTAAGCTTCCTGAGGCCTCACCAGAAGCCAAGCAGACATTGATGTCATGCATCAGGTACAGCCTGCAGAACTGTGAGCCAAATAAACCTCTTCTCTTTATAGATTACCCAGTCTCAGGTATTCCTTTATAGCAATGCAAAAATGGCCTAACACACCAGTGCTTTGAAAATTTTAGAAAAAGCGGCCAGGCACAGTGGCTCACACCTGTAATCCCAGCACTTTAGGAGGCCGAGATGGGCAGATCACAAGGTCAGGAGTTCGAGACCAGCCTGGCCAACATGGTGAAACCCTGTCTCTACTAAAAATACAAAAGTTAGCTAGGCTTTGTGGCAGGTGCCTGTAATCCCAGCTACTCGGGAGGCTGAGGCAGGAGAATCACTTGAACCCAGGAGGCGAAGGTGGCAGTGAGCCAAGATCATGCCACTGCACTCCAGTCTGTGTGAAAGAGCAAGACTCCTCTCAAAAAAAAAAGAAAAGAAAAGAAAAGAAAAGAAAAACAAGAAGCACCTTTCAGTCTAAGCTTATATGGAGGGAAATTCCATCCATGAGCTCTAGACCCAACTTTGTCATGACTAGCTTATTGGCCTTGGGTCAGACACAACCTTCCTGTTTCTTCATCTTTTAAAATTTATCTTAGCAGTTCTCTACATAGCAAGTACAATAAATACTTTGAAGGAATATAAATCCTCATAAAAATTTAAACTTGGGCAGGAAATTGAACTAGATGATTCTTGAAGCCCATTTAAGAAGATGGCAAACTCCAACAGTAAGCATGGAGGAAGAAATTTCTTTCTCACATTCTCATTTATCACATAAGCGGAAAATTGTCCATGTTGCCTTATTGGTGCAAGCAGAAGCTGAAAGCATCCAGCAGACAGGCAAGGCTGAAATACAGAGGCACTTTCAGAACACATGGCTAAGTACTGAACTGAGGTGCTTTGTGTGTATGGTTTTAAGGAGCGGAGAGTTTAATAGGCAAGAAAGAAGGAAGAAGCTCCCCCATACAGAGAGGGAAGGACAGGGGGCTCCAAACCCCAGAGAGGAAACCAGCCAGTTATATGAGGAGGCTGGAGAAGGCAGTGGCTGATTTGCACTGGGCTCAGGGGATTGGTTTGACCAGGCATGTCATTTATGTAGCCCATGAAAAAATTGCCCCTCCCAACCTAGCCTTTTAATATGTAAAGGAAGGCCGCCATGATGTTCTACACACCTGGGGATATGTGGGGGCGCCATGTTGCCAGGCACATGTGAAGGCAAAGGCAAGAAGACACGGGAATCGCCATGTTTGGGTGGACCCAGTTTCTAATGGCCCACACTTGTGTATCAAAGGTTGCCGGCCGGCTAGAGCTGGGGCTTTCCTGCTAGACAAGAAACATTTCTGGAGCCGCTTTAAAAGAAACGAAAACTTCCCAAGGACCCCTTTTCCCCTCTAGCTGCCTAAAATAATGTCTTAATAACTCCTATAATATTCCTCCCTGTGGAGAGGTCACCCTAACTGCTGTTAGGGGGTTTTGGGCGACGACTATTTCTGGCTACTTCTTGCTGAAAAGGGGTATCAAATGGGGAACAGCAGCTAGGGCTCCTCCTGCGGTCAATTTAAGGATCCTCGGAAGAATAGCATGTCCATGCATGTGAACTGAGGTACTTAATGGAGGAATGAGCAGCTAAGCACATCCAAGATACTATGAGAACTGTCCCAAACTCAGCACTCAAAGGAACCTGTGGCTACCTACACAGTTATACCTGGACAGACACCTGTAAAAAACCCACTGGCTTTCCAGAGTATATTTCCTGTAATATAATGCCATTTTTTTTTTCCAATCTCTAGAGATACTGCTTTGAACTTACTCCTTCATATTTAAAAGGAGAAAAGAAACAATTAGTTGACATGCTGGAAGAAAAGGAGTTAAGATACCTACTGTTGAGAGTTTTAAAAATTGTTATTTCAAAATGCTATTTTCTATTTTTTTTTTCACCCAGGAACTAAAGAGAGTCTAATAAATCCCACTGAACATTCATCAGCAAATCATAAAAACCTGATCCAGATGCCTGTGATGCTGGAGGTATTTAGCTTAGGTATTTTGCGTTCCATTATTGGAACACTGAGCATGTGGGAGTTATTTATATCCTACTGCTCAAGGTCATCGCCAAGCAGGTGACCTCAGGCATAAATTTCAACCTCAGGCATAAATGGGTTAAGGTCCTCTTTGATGCTCAGATTCTGTGATCCTGCAGTGTAGGTCTTAGGTGATCAAGCACTACCCACAGACAGAGAATGGAAGTCAACTGATCAGAATTAGAGTGTTGGACAGAATTTCATTCTGTGCCCAATGCTGATTTTTACCAATAATCGAAAAAAAAAAGAAAAAAGTATTTTTAAAAGACCATTTGGGGATACAAATTTCTCCAAGATGGAAATTAGGCCAGCATTTTGGAAGACAAAATGATGATCTAAGATGACTTTGATAAGAGAAATAAATCACGATTAACAGAAAGAATCATAAAATTATAGGTTCTTCAAGTAGAAGGACCCCTTGAGGGTCACACCTTCCAACTCTAATTGATATATGAGCTCACTCTCTCTCTACAAATCCCTGAGAAGGATTGCCCAACCTGTGGTTTTGTTTTTTTGTTTTGTTTTGTTTTTGTGAGACAGAGTCTCGCTCTATCGCCCAGGCTGGAGTGCAGTGGCACGATCTCGGCTCACTGCAAGCTCCGCCTCCCGGGTTCACGCCATTCTCCTGCCTCAGCCTCCCGAGTAGCTGGGACTACAGGCGCCCGCCACCACGCCCGGCTAATTTTTTGTATTTTTAGTAGAGGCGGGGTTTCACCGTGTTAGCCAGGGTGGTCTCGATCTCCTGACCTCGTGATCCACCTGCCTCAGCCTCCCAAAATGCTGGGATTACAGGCATGAGCCACCACACCTGGCCTGTTGTTTTAACTTTCAGCATTGTGCTTTAATGAGAGTCTGAATTTTAGCCCCTAATATGGGGCATAAATTCTGTATAATACATTTTAGGAATTTTATAGGATGATTTTGACCATTTGCAATGTTTTAATTGAAATTTTTTTGAGATAATTGTATTCACATGCAGTTGTAAGAAATAAGAGACGTTTCCCTATAAACTCTGCCAAGTTTCTCCCATTGGCAACGTCTTGCAAAATTATAATATTGACAACCAAAATGAATGACTGAGGCAAGTGCCCCAATCAATTAAGGTTTATTGAGCCAGCTTGAGGGTGGGCCCAAGAAAAATGCAAGTCACAGATGCACCTGTGGGTGTTTTGCCAAAGAGGTTCTTGGGAGGTTTAGTACTTATAATTTTCCTTTAAAAAAGAAAAAAAAAGGAGAGAGGGAGCTGTGAGACCAATGGGTACATACTGTGAGACTTTAGTTAGTGCTCAGTAAATCTACATTTTACCCACAATCAGGTGAGCATTTGAAGAAAAAGGGAAGAGAGGAAGCAGATGTCTCAGGGAGGGGTGAAGGAATGACTCATCTCATCCTGTCTTTATTCTCTACTTGGGAAGATAAGCTAGTAATGCTCACTATGAAGTCTTGAAAGATCTGATTCCTGTTTAGCCCTTAGGGAAGAAAGCCTTGTGGTGGTTAGTAAGGGAGGGGGCATAATGAGGTGTGTCCCACCTCCCATCCCATCATGGCCATGAACTCAGCTTCCAGGGTTTGGGGTCCCCTTGGTCAAGAAGGTGTCCATTCAGTTGGGGGCTTAGAATTTTATTTTTATTTCTCAGTATGTTACAACCAGGATACTGACATTGATACAATCCATCAATCATATTCAGATTTTCTTGGTGTAAGAAAAAGTAGCACAGGGACAAGCAGTCCTGGGGTGTGTGTTTATTATAATTTTATCACCTTGGTTGATTCACGTATTCACCACCACAGTCAAGAAACTGGACAGTTCTTAATTTTGTCATTTCAAAACTATGTATATGAAATCGTACAGTACGTAACCTTTGGGGATTCGCTTTTTTCTCTCAGCATCATTCCCTGATATTTTTGTAGGTTGTTATTTGTATCAAGGGTGTTTCTCTTTTTGCAGAGTAGGATGACTCCATGGTATGGATGTGCCACAATTTATGTAGCCATTCACCTGTTCTGAGCTGATTCCAGTTTTTGGCTATTGTAAATGTAAAAGGTGCTATTATCATTTGTGCAGATTTTCATGCGAATACAAGTCTTCATTTCTCTGGGAGGAGTGCCTAAGCATGTAATTGCTAGGTCATGTGGTAACCCTGTGTTTAGTTTTATAAGAAATTACGAAACCACTTTCTGGAGGGGCTGCACTGTCTTACGTTCCCTCCACCAATGCATGGGTGGTTTGGTTTCTCTGCATCCTGTCCAGCACTTGGTGTTCTAGTTTTTATTTTGGCCATTCTGGTGGGTGTGTAGTGATTTCTCACTGGGGTTTCTGAACTGTCGTTTTGGAAACCTCCAGTGATATGAGCCTCACAAGTTCCCGAGGGCGCCTTCCGCTTACTCTGCAGGAAGTTGTGATCTGTCCCTCTGTGATGTTTCTGCTCTGCCTCCAGTTCTGCTTTCTGGAGCTCCATGCTGACACTCTGACCAGCCTTTTCCTCTCTATCTTGAAAATGCTCTTTCTTTTTGAGGTTGGCATTCTCAGTTATTTCAATTATTTCTCCAAAATCATATTTTTCTAACCCTTTGTCGTCATGATCTCTCTTTTTTTTTTTTCTACCCAGCAACTTGTATTTCTTGAGGTCCTATTACATATGATAGACTATCCTAGGCTTAGGGATATATGGACAAATGAAATTAAGTTCCATCTCACAAGATGTTCACAGACTAGCAGGGGGACAAACTGCTCTCTATACTGTACAATATAGTAAATGTTATATATAGAGATATATACCAAGAACAATGAATATTATGGCTGTTTTTCATTGAGACCAATCTTGTCATTCACAGAGATTTGTTCCCACTCACAAACGACTTCCAGTCAAGTGAAGGATAAATGCATCTACATATAAGTTTAATACAATGTGAGTGCATGGGGCAGGGCTGGAGTTGTGCAGTTGATGTGCAGACAGCATCAGGGTAGGAAAAGCTTCATGGAGGAAGTGATACCTCTGGATGGAAAGGTAGGAAGAGGCAGGCATCCCAGGCTGAGTGACTAGCTGAGCGCACCAGCAGAGGTTTGAAGCAATCTGAAGCAGTTTGGAGCCTTGGATGACCAATAAGTGGTATAGGATTGCTAAAGGCTAATTTATGAGGGACAAAGGGCAGAGAATAAGTTAGGAGAAGGAGTAGGGAGAGCTCCTCAGACTTGTTAAGGAACCAAGATTTTTGTCCTGCAGATAACAGGGGATTAAACACAAGACAGGTCAGCTTACTATTTTAAAAACTCCCTTTGGTAGCTGTGAAGTAGGCAAATCTGAGAGAGGCAAGGTTGCAAGCAGAAGTGTCAAGTGAAACGCTATTAAAATGGTCTAGCTGAGATGTGCTTAAGGTGGAAACTAAAGAACTGGAAATAGGAACGCATGAGAAGGCTTTGAGAAATAATTAGGAGACAAATTGGGATTATGTGCTGATTAAGTATGAGAAATAAAGGGAGTTAAGACTGACAATAAAATAAAATCTGTGAAACGCAAAAGGATTGAGTGTTTAATTGTTTACAGGCTGCAGAGATAGAAAAAATATTTTAGAGAGAAAATTAAAATTTGAGATTATTAAATCTCAAAGGCAATTTGACTCTGACCTTTACTCCTATGAAAAAGAGTCTGATTAAGGATTCCTTCACTTTACCCAGAGGAAATGGCTCTATGGAAACATAAATAATACAGGTCAAATACATGAATAATTTTCAAGTCAATAAGCATTAGAAAGGACAACTCAATTACAAATGCAAATTTAAGATACAATAAAGGCTGTATCTCAGATCAGTTGAGGGAAAGGAAAGATTAGAGACTAAGTAGCACTGGGATAGCAGGAAAGCTACATGGGAAAAACATAGTCATTTTCCTTAGTGAATACATCAGGATAAATTTCAAACACATCAAAGACTCGGATGTAAATAAATTAACCATACAAAAACTAAAAGAAAATGTGTGTGAATCACTTTATAACGTGGGAGAATTTTCTCACTGTGACTCAAAATCCAGAAGAAATAAAAAAACATAGATGAATTTAATTACATAGAAATAAGACTAAAAAGCTATTGTTGGCAAAAGGCATCCTAAGCAAGGAAAAAAGACAAATGACAAATTGAGGAAAATCTTTGCTACTTGTATCACAGATGAAGGGGTTGGTAAAATAGAAAAGGAAAAAGACCAATCACGCTATAGAAAAATGCACTGAAGAAAATGCAGTTTCCAAGCAAATAAATGCAAATCTCTTCACCACATGAAAAAAGGATTCAATTTCATTCCCATATGAGAAAAATCAAACTAGAAATACATTGAGGTACAGTTTTTTCACCCATAACATTTGCAAAAATCCAAAAGTTTAGCGACACACTGTTGTTGAGGCTGAGGGAAATAGTCGTTGCAATGTAGACTGGAGGTAGGAACCCAAAATGGCACAATTCCTGCAGAGGAGAATTTGGTAGCATCTAACAAATCTATGTATGCGTTTAGCCTCTCACTCAGTAACCCCTCTTCTATAAAAATTGATGCCCAAGAGTCACTGGTTAGAAAGATATATCTGAAAAGAATGAACTGCAGGACTCTGTGAAACAGCAAAAGCCTAGAAACAACCCATCAGCAGAGGAGAGTAGACTCAATTACGGAACATTCATAGAGAGGATGTACCTACCCCTTAATCAAAATAATTCACCATGCATTCATTGGCCTCCCCATTCCATCAAACATCAGTCAACAATTGCAAAAAGCTAACAAAAAACAACAGAAGAATAAGCCATAAAGATTTTTTTTTTTTTTTTTTTGAGACAGAGTCTTGCTCTGTCGCCCAGGCTGGAGTGCAGTGGCGAGATCTCGGTTCACTGCAAGCTCCACCTCCCGGGTTCACACCATTCTCCTGCCTCAGCCTCCTGAGTAGCTGGGACTACAGGCACCCGCCACCACGCCCGGCCAAATTTTTTGTATTTTTAGTAGAGACGGGGTTTCACCATGTTAGCCAGGATGGTCTTGATCTCCTGACCTCGTGATCTGCCTCGGCTTCCCAAAGTGCTGGGATTACAGGCATGAGCCACTGCGCTGGGCCAAGATTTTTTTAAGTGGTTACCTAAGGAAAGTTCTAGAATGAAATGGTCAAGAATGGAAGCTAGACTTCTGTGAAAGTATCTTGTTTAGTGGATTTGACTTATTTACATTAATTATAAAGCAAAATTATTTTTGTAAAAAGCAACACCTAAAAATTTAACATAAACCAAAACAAATTAACCTAAATGTGTATGTACTTGTATTATTACACTCAGAAGAACTGATGTTAAAATGATGTGTTGAAACTCTTAAACTTTCAGTAACTGTATTGTTGGTGGCAGTATTGGCTACTGTTTTCTAAGATCAGTTCAGGTGTCTTGGTGGGGTTGAGCAAAAAAAAATTATGTAATATTCTAAATATATAATTTTCATTGTTGTTGAGGACTAGGATTCTCAGTATGGGAAAAAGAAAATAGAAGATAATCAGAAAAGCTATAAAGGAAATTAGGTTGGCCATACATTGATAAATTTGGAAGCTACATTATGGATTCATGAAGGTTGTATTATACTCTTCTACATACTTTTATGTTTGAAATTTTCTATGTCAAATGTTAAAAAAGAAAAGGAAAGGATTACCACTAGTGTAGGAAGTATAATTTCCTACAGGTGTCTTAAGAGAAGGATTCAGTATGTTACATGACACAGAATATGCAAATATAACCCTTCCAGAAGAAGCCTAGGATCTCTTAGTTTTATGAATCTATAATCAGTAGTTTTGGAGCTGCAAGAATTCAACAAATTCAGTTAGTAACATGAAATTTAAAGGATGGCAAAATAAATATAATTACCCTATTTGAAGTCGTTACCTCACCTTCTGCTAAAAAAGAGCAACTTCTTGACTTCCTGGCCATTGGTCGACAGCCCTGGAAACATTTTCAGCTAAATTAAACTCATTAAAAACCAAAACAAATAAAATCTTGTTTCTTTGGATGAAAGCAAAAATTCCTATTTGTGAACAAAGGCATTGATTCAATAGATTCCCCTGGTAACTTCCTTGGTGAACAGTTTGCTCTTGATGCCAAAAAGTCAGCCTCATAAATATGTGCCAACTCTGATGCCAATGCAGCATTCACATACATTCTTTCATCCATTCAGTAAACATTTATTGGAGCCCCTGTTGTACACAGACAATGTTTATACAGCAGTGATCACAACAAATATTTCTGCACCCTTCTTGTGAAAGATGGAAAGGGTAGTTAAAAAAAATCTATAAAATATATAATATTTCAGATGGCTGTAAGTGTAGCCCAAAAGAGTTATAATTTTAAAGGATGGCCAGGGAAAGTTCACCAAGAGGTAGCCCATGTGTAAAAACCTGCAAGTAATGATCTGAAGCAGGTGAGGAAGTTAGCTATGGGGTTAATCTGGGGGAAGAAGATTCCAGGCAGACGGAAGAACAAGCTATAAAGAGGTAGGAGGTGGGACTAAACTCAGGGGGCAAGACTCAACTGCAGAGGCAGGGCTTGGACACTGGACCAAATTGAGGACTAGTTAAAACAGGGATAGGGTGGAAGCATCTTTCCATAAAACACCCGCCAGTGTTCCATGTCAGTTTACCATTGCCATGGCAACACCCTGAAGTTACCACCCTTTTCCATGGCAACAATCTCACAACCCAGAAATTACCACCCTTGTTCTAGAAATTTCTGCATAATCTCCCCTTAGTTTGCATGTAATTAAAAGTGGATATAAATATGGCTGCAGAACTGCCTCTGAGCTGCTACACTAAGCACACTGTGTGTGGGGTAGCCCTGCTCCACAAGGAGCAGTACCTATGCTGTTGCTGTTCACTGGTGCTTCAGTAAAAGTTGCTCTCTAACATTACCAGCATGCCCTTGAATTCCTTCCTGGATGAGGTCAAGAGCCCTCCAGGGCTAAGCCCCCGTTATGGGGCTTGCTTCCCTGCATCAATAGGTCCTGCTGTGGGAATGTTCTTGGCATTTTTGTGGAAGAAAGAGGCCAGTACGGGGGATGGTGGTATGGGATAGAGCAAGGAGGGAGGTGATATGGGATAGAGCAAGGGAGTGGCAGGGAAGGATCACCAAGGCAGTAAGAGGCTCCTGCAGGACCTTGTAGGCCATTGCAAGCTTTACCCCAAGTGAAATGGAAAACCAAATGCTAAAGGAAGAACCACCAGCTAAGAGTGAGTGATGTCATGTAGTTATCACTCTAAAGGACACTTAGGCTGCTGTGTTGAGAATAACCTGGAAAGACAAGGGCAGAACCAGAAAGCTTTTGCCACAATCCAGGGGAGAAACATAATGTAGTTTAAACTAGGATGTTGCATTAGAAGAGGTGAAAAATGGCCAGATTCTGAATATATTTTGGAAATAGATCCTATAGTATTTATTTACAGACTTGGATCTGAAATCTGAGAGGACAAACAGAGTCAAGAAAAACCCTAAGGTTTTTAGCCTGAGCAACTGGAAGGATAGACTTCCCATTAATGAGAAGAGAATTATTGCAGGAGAACCTAATTTTAGAGGGGAAGGTCAGGAGTTTTGATCTGGTTGTGTTAGGCTTGAGATGCCCATTGGACATACAAAGTAAGCATCAAACGAATAGACAATTGGATGTGTGTCTGAAGCTCAGGGGCAAGGTCTAAGCTAAAGGTAATAAATGTTGGAGTTGTCAGTGTGTACATGGTATTTACAGGGAGGTGTTTGGGTGGGATCATCAAAAGAAGTGCCCCAGGTCACTTCAATAGTCAGACATCAGCACTACGAGGTAAAATCAGCAAAGGAGACCACAGCAAAGTCAGGAGAATGGGGAGTCTTGGAAACTCCGCAAAAAAAAGTGCTTCTGGGAAGAGGGGCTGACCTAGTGTATCAGTTCAAATGCTGCTGGTAGATTAAGTGAAGTGGCAACTGAGAACGTGTGGGCTTTCTTGCACTCAATTTATTCACACAATTTCATCACCGAATTGAGCATGATACTCTTAAATGTCCACACCACATCATACCCCATAGTGTGCTCCTTCCAGCAACACTTCTGCTGTTTCTGAAATTATGGACACGTGTTCTTGACTAAGGGTCCAGAGAATAGGTTTCCTTCATCCTAGAGTCATGTGGCAATGCCAGCACCAAATGGAATAGTAATCTCCAAATAAAAAAGATTCACTGTGATCTACGTATTATCTAAGAACCAATATTTTAGTTCCCTGGCTGGAGCTAGGAGCAGTTCCTTGTTCTTCTAAATAAGTGGGACTTCACACAGAGACATTGGGTCAAGTAGCATGAATAATGCTTAGAAAAGCTTTAATGCTACCTCCTGTGATCCTCCTAAGACACAGGCAGGAAAAAAAAATGATGATCTGTAACCAAAGAGGGTGGTTAGACCCTCACGCCTCCAGGCGGGTGTGGCTCATGCTCAGTGTGGAGATGAGATGGGCGCCTGGGTGGCGTGTTCTTACAGCCTGCGTGACGTTTCTCATGCCATCAGGGAAGGCAGACACTTCCCTCAGTGGGTGGCAGAGGACACAAAAGTCATGGCAAAGACTCGTCGCATGACTTGTAGTTTCAAGCTGTTCCATGAATACAGCCATCTTATAGTGCAAGCTGAGTGCAGTCCTGATTTTTGTTTTTTTTTTTTTTTTTTTGGCGGGGGGAGACAGAGTCTCGCACTGTTGCCCAGGCTGGAGTGCAATGGTGCGATCTCAGCTCATGGCAACCTCCACCTCCCGGGTTCACACAATTCTCCTGCCTCAGCCTCCTGAGTAGCTGGGACTACAGGCGCACACCACTACACCCGGCTAAATTTTTTGCATTTTTTTTTTTTTTTTTTTTTTAGTAGAAACAGGGTTTCACTATGTTGGTCAGATTGGTCTCAAACTCCTGATCTCATGATCTGCCCGCCTCGGCCTCCCGAAGTGCTGGGATTACAGGCGTGAGCCACCATGCCCGGCCATCCTGAATTTTATTGCCAGCAAGGAGAAGTAAAGGTCTAGGGCTACCCAAGAATGAAGTAGTTCACCAGCCTTTTAAAAATAGATTGAAAAGTCAACCACATTCTTATGTTTCAAACACAGCTTTGGTGCCACAACTCACACCACTGTATGAGACTTGAATTCTATCAGCCAGCTTTTAATCCAAGGCTGCTAGCTTCCAACTACTTTAAGGGATGTTCTGATGATAAAAGTCAGTCCCAGTAAAAACAGGTATTTGATTAGGGAGCTTGAGACCCAGAAATAAGACTATACCAGGAACTCTCACAAAATTCTTCGATAAACTTGTTACCTCCAGGGCTCCTGATTCTTGCTGTAGAAGGAGCACTTCTATCTCAATTGCAAATAATACCATCTCCTATGGAGCACTTACAATGAGCCAGGCACCATTCCAAATGGTTTATGTACATGATCTTATTAATACTCAGAAAGCTTTTATGAGGTGGATACAGCATATGCATAAGAAAACTGAGATTTAAAAAGATTAAGTTACTTGCCCAAGCTCTCACAATGACTAAGCCCAGAATGAAGGTCAGAACCTAGGTACTAGAACTCTAGAGCCCTCGCCCTCAATCAACATGTTCCATCTCCTGCTGGGAATGGTTTCTGGTAGGCAAAGTCAGCACTTCATTCTTACAGCCCCAAACTCTACTACCAGGGTCAACAACTCCGTTACACAGTTTCCTACTCCTATGTTATTCCTTAATTCTTTCTTTAGATACTAAAAACATCCTTAAGCATCATTATCTTAATAGTAGTTAAGTTTACTTCTGAACCCACTTCTTATGATGCAGCTGAATGGCAACTTTAATGCCTTTTATCATTTCCTCTCTTGCATGGATATAACTAAGGATTGCAAGGATATATACACTTGCATGCCTCCAACTTCCCTATCTTTCTACTTCTGCTTTTCTGGGTCCATGATTTACCCCAAACTCATATTACATATACACCTGCCAGTCAATGCCATCAAAACTTTCCTACTGGCATGAATGCAGTGGTATGTAGCTCAAAGGTTCGAGAAATTCCTTTTACATAGACCATCAGAACTCTGAAAGTTCTTAGCATTCTAGTCCTTTATCTTCAAAAAATGCATGTCCATTTTGCAATTTATTCATAGTTATTTTAGTATTTTAAAAAGTGGTTGGCCGGGCGCAGTGGTTCACGCCTGTAATCCCTTTGGGATTTTGGAAGGCCGAGCCAGGCGGATCACGAGGTCAAGAGATCGAGTCCATCCTGACCAACATGGTGAAACCCCGTCTCTACTAAAAATACAAAAATTAGCCGGGCGTGGTGGCACGCGCCTGTAGTCCCAGCTACTCGGGAGGCTGAAGCAGGAGAATCACTTGAACCCTGGAGGTGAAGGTTGCAGTGATCCGAGATCACGCCACTGCACTCTAGCCTGGGGACAGTGAGACTCCACCTCAAAAAAAAAAAAAAAAAAAAAAAGGATGGTTTCAGTTACTTAATTTTAAGAAGAATGAGAATAAAGACCACATCTTTTTGTTCTTTGCTGTATCATTCATGCCTAAGCATTTTCTAAAGATTTATTAAATAAATCATTGACATTCCAGGCTGTAGGTTGGATTTGGGTCTGTTACCAGCATCGTATTGTTCTAGGACCAAGGCTGAAAGAGCAGCTTCTGTCAGGATACAGCCTTCTTAGGGTAGAAAGCACTGGAGCAGAGAAGGTCAATCTGAACCTTGTAATCACAACAAACACTTCTATTCAGAAGTTGGATACAGCACATACTACTGATGTTCCATTTCCCAAAGCAAATCATACGACCAAGCCTGACCAGGAGATACGGGATTTCATAGGGTAGGGATTGAAGAAATGTGAATAGTCATACAGTCCCTGGAATCCTATATCAACGAAAGTTGGGAGGTCTTCACGAAGCTTCCATGGGAAGTTTTTAGATGGCAGTGGTCTGGAGGAGAGTTTCAGACATTAAGTCCTAGTTACTACAAATTTAGTGTTACACAACTGCAAGTTTCCTTAAAGATTATATGTACTTCTGTTGTGGATGATGTTGTTTTCAGTAAATTTAAATATATTAAAGGAGCTCAACTTTAAAGAAAGAAAAATCTGATGAAATGGAGAATCCTTGTGAAATGCAAATATCCTTCTCTGAAATGAGTGTTTAACAGTATGTGTCCAGAGGATACCATGTTTTCCTAAAGCAGGGCATGCGCCATCTTGATTTTAAAAGCAAAATAAAATTCAAATGAAGAAAAGAGAAGGAGCGTGACTGATTAAGAAATTATCAGACATATTCTAATTTAGGCTGATTCCAGAAGGTCTTCATTTTTTCAATCTGCTTCCTAAGTATTTTTATGAGTAAGCCTGTCCCTTCTTGCTAGAGACACTTAGTTTTCATTCAAGCACTGGTTTCATCCCAGATAAATGAAAAGCAGTAAATATATATATATACTGCCCCTGACATATTTACCATGAGGAGGGAGGGCAGGAGGAGAAGGGAACGAGAACATCTGTTCCAAAGCAAACTGCCAGATTCATGGCAAAGAGTGTTTGGCTGGTGTACCCCATCTATCAGAAAGCTGCCTCCCGCACCAGGGTCAGCATTCCATTTCATCTTCTTGGGATGGGGAGAGAAAATGTAGCTCAGGACTTTACACAGATAATTTGAAAAATGTTTTTAGAAAAAGTGGATAATGCATAGCCAACTATAATAAATTTCCTAGTAATGGCAAGATTTTCAAAGTGTTCTTCAAATACATATAACTTATGTGACCTACATACTAGCTTCTAGATTGCAACTGTAATACTTTGCTAGGTAATCATGGAATTGATTTAGGAAAAATGGAGTTGAATTTTTCCACAAGTTACATTACACTCTGGGAAATGATTTTGCAAGGACAGATAACAACAGAATCTGGACACCTGGCGTCCACAAAACGGGACTGAGAACACAGTCTTTGGGGCGCAATGTTAGCTACAGAAAATCTAGACGTGAAAAATGACCTGTTTCTGCCTACCTGTACTTAGCATTATGAGCAAAAAGCAGCAAAAGCTGAAGTTCCTGCCCACATTGAGGTAACAATCTAGGCAGGCAGATAAACCGTATTTCTCTCTTTTTTTTTTTTTTTTTTTTGAGATAAGGTCTCACTCTGTTCCCCAGGCTTGGGTGCAGTGGCACAATCACAGCCCACTGCAGTCTCCACCTCCTGGGCTCAAGTGATCCTCCCACCTCAGCCTCCCTAGTAGCTAGGATTATAGGTGCATGCCACCATACTTGGCTATTTTTTTTAAATTTTTAGTAGCGACAAAGTCTCACTATGTTGCCCAGGCTGGTCTTAAACTCCTGGGCTCAAGCAATCCTCCTGCCTCGACCTCCCAAAATGCTGAGATTACAGGTGAGAGCCACTGCATCCAGCTTTAAAGCATATTTCAAAACAAGTAGTAACCAAAGGTATCTGCGAAAGGCTAAAATTTATAGCCACAAATCAAAACTAAGAAAGTACAAAAATAAGGAATGGCTATGCACAGCAGACAATAAATGTAAATGCATCAGGAAAATAGGACATAAAAGAGGTGTTCTAGAGAGAAAAGCCTTGTACTGAGCTTGAAGCTGAGATGGGGTACATGGATAAAAGTGGGGTGCAGTGGAAGGGCAGGAAGTGTCATATCTGAAAGGATAGAATACTGTGGCGAAATACGTGAGTTATTAGAAGCATGCTATGTCACTTATACTCAGACACTGGTGACCTGGTAACCCTGCGTAAATCATTTACGCTATTTGGTCTTCGGTTTCTTCATCTATAAAATGGGAATAGCCAGGCACAGTGAAGCGCTGAGGTAGGAGGATCACTCAAGCCCAGGAACTCAAGACCAGCCTGGGCAACATATTGAGACCCCGTCTTTATTTAAAAAAATGAGAATAAACAAACCCATCAGCCATCTCACCAGAAGATGCTATCAATAGCACCCTGTATGGGAATCCCCTTATCAGAATTGACATTCCCATTATTTCTGGGAATGCTAGGCTCCACGAGAAGGTCATGGTCATATTCACTGCTCCCCCTCCACTGCCTATCAGAATGCCCAGCACATAACAAGGGTTCAATGAATATGGGTTAAATGAAGCCAGAAAAAGGCACTCTAACACACAGGGGCAATGGTTTATTTTCATACTGCCATCATTGTCTGATACAATCTTACTCATGCAAGTATAGTTTACCTATTCCTTCCTCAGATGAAACTGATGCCAACAAACTCCTCACAACGTTTCTTCATATGTAAAAAGCAGAGAAGAAATAATCAATAATAACAGTGATAACACTGCTGAGCACCCGTGGCTGGACTCTGCTCAGTGTTTGCATTATTGCTGCTCATGAGAGTGAAGATAAGTGTTTGTAATCCCTTCTCTACAGCTAATGCCTTCCCTTACTCCCTCTTATTGTCCATTTATTTTACAATCCCTCTCAATCTGGCTCCTGCCCCACCCCACTATGCTCTACTGATAATGTTACTATGTCTCTTCTAAACACTAAATCTAATGGCTCTGATTAGCCATCAGTTTGCCTGAGGTCCCATAACACAGTTCTCCTCTCACATTTTTTTCTGACTAAACTGAGCTGATGCAATGACTTCTAAAACCTGACTGATATTCAGATGATCCAAGTCCTTTATCTGCCCTTATTACACAGGAAATTTCAAAATACGCCCAGATTTTTTCTCTGGCCACCTGAAATTTCATATGTGTAAAACTGAGTTTATAATCCCACCTTCTCCTTTTCCCAAACTTATTCCAAATTTCCTTGCTCCCTCATAGAAAAAAAAAAAATCAGCGTGATTTTGTCACCCTAATACTTCAAATCCACTGAGATATCAAGTTTTATCCATATCACCTGAGAAGTATCTCCCAAATTGGGTTTCCTCTCTGGGGTCCACTGTCATGGCCTTCGTTTAGAAACTAATTGCTCACTGCTTTTCGAAAGCTGGAGAATAAGCTTGTTGCTTCAGGATGTTTGTACAGCAGCTCACAGACAGCTCCTTTCTATTCCCACTTCCAGGAATAAAAACCTCAAAGAGCAAAATGTTTCCCAGTATTTTAAAAATACAATCATGTGTTGCTGACCGGGCGTGGTGGCTCACACCTGTAATCCCAGCACTTTGGGAGGTCAAGACGGGTAGATCACCTGAGGTCAGGAGTTCAAGACCAGCCTGGCCAAGATGGTGAAACCTCGTCTGTACTAAAAATACAACAATTAGCTGGGTGTGGTTGTGCACGCCTGCAATCCTAGCTACTAGGGAGGCTGAGGTAGGAGAATCACTTGAACCCAGGAGGCAGAGGTTGCAGTGAGCTGAGATGGTGCCATTGCACTCCAGCCTGGGAGGCAGAGCAAGACTCTGTCTCCAAAAAAAATACAATCATGTGTTGTTGCTTAATGATGGAGATACGTTCTGTGAAATGTGTCACTAGGTGATTTTGTCCTTACATGAACATCGTGGAGTGCACTTGCGCAAACCTAGATGGCACAGCCTACTACACTCCCAGGATATATGGTAGAGCCTATTGCTCTTCAGCCACAAACCTGTGTAGCATGTAACTGTCCTGAATACCGTAGGGAATTATAACACAATGGTAAGGATTTGTGTATCTAAACAAAGAAATAGTACAGTTAAAAATACAGCATAAACAATTAAAATGGTATACCTGTAGAGGGCGCATACAATAAATGGAGCTTGCAGGACCGGAAGTTGCTCTGGGTGAGTCAGTGAGTGAGAGTGAGTGAATGTGAAGGCCTAGGATATTACTGTATACTACTATAGACTTTATAAATACTATATGCTTAGGCTACACTACATTTGTGTTTAAACATTTTTCTTTCTTCAATAATAAATTAACCTTAGCTTACTGTAACTTTTTTTTTTTTTTTTTTTTTGAGACAGAGTCTCGCTCTGTCACCCAGGCTGGAGTGCAGTGGCGCAATCTCAGCTCACTCTAAGTTCCACCTCCCGGGTTCACACCATTCTCCTGCCTCAGCCTCCTGAGTAGCTGGGACTACAGGTGCCCGCCACCACACCTGACTAATTTTTTTGTATTTTTAGTAGAGATGGGGTTTCATCCTGTTGGACAGGATGGTCTCGATCTCCTGACCTTGTGATCGGCCCACATTGGCCTCCCAAAGTGCTGGGATTACAGGCATGAGCCACTGCACCCGGCCAGCTTACTGTAACTTTTTTAGTCTATAAACTTTCTAATTTTTTAACTTTGACTCTTGTATTAACACTTAGCTTAAAATACAAACACATTGTACTGTTGTACAAAAATATTTTCCTTCTTTGTATCCTATTCTTTTTTCTATATTTTAAATTTTTAACATTTTAAACGTTTTTGTTAAAAACTGAGACACAAACATTGGCCTAGGCCCACACGGGGTCAGGATCATCAATGTCACTGTCTTCCACCTCCACATCTTATCCCACTGGAAGGTAGTCAGGAGCAATAACACGCACAGAGCTGTCAACTGATATAACAATGACTTCTTCTGAAATACCTCCTGGAGGACCTGCCTGAGACCGTTTCCAGTTAAAAAAAAAAAAAAAAAAAAAAGTTAACAAACAGGAGTACACCCGAACATAGCAATAAAAAGTATACAGTAAATACATAAAGCAGCAACATCACCATTTCCTGTCATTATCAAGTATTATGCCCTGCATGTCAGGGCATGGGCCATGCTTTTGTAAGACTGGTAGTACAGTAGGTGATACACCTGTATCACCACAAACACATGAGTAATGCATTGCACCACCACATTACAACTATAATATCACTAGGCGATTAGAGTTTTTCAGCCCACTACGATCTTACGGGACTGATATCATACATGTGCTCTGTCACTGACCCAAACATTGTTATGTGGGGTATGACTGTAAGTATATATGTGAGGCAAATCTCCTCAGCTTAAAACAGGAAATGCAATATAAGCAATAATTAAGAAGTACATTTTTATAGCTTACACAAATCTATTCTTAGATCATTGGGGCAGAGACTAATTGTTGACCAAATCTATTTCTTTTTCTTGGGAACATTGTTAGGCTGCATTTCCCAGCCTTCTGGGTAGTTATATGCCAGAGTTCCAGCCAATGGCATGTGAGCAGAAGTGATGTGCGCCACCACCAGGCCTAGCCAGTAAGAACTTTTCCATGCCCAACCCACCATGCTTTTTACCCATCCACAGATTGGCTTGCTGAAGGTAGTAAGCACCTTGGAAGCAACACATTGAAGGACACAAAGCCAAAGATGGAAGGAGCCTAAGTTCCTGAATCACCACTTAGAGAAAAGCCACTTTCCAATCAAGAAAACTCATCTCAAACTTTATCTGAGCAAGAAATAAACGTCTATTTTATAAACTCACTGATATTTTGAGTTTTATATGTCACAACAGCTAGAATTACCTTGATCAACACATAATTAGGAATTAGAATTGTTATTATCAGTATATTATGTCATTCATTTGGGGGATCAAAAGTCTCAAGGATACTGTAGAAAGTTTCTAGAGTAACTCCAGAAGATATCAACAGTAATATTTTACTAATAACAAAATTATTAATATAACCAAATAATATTGTCACCTTGGTGCATTTCTTTATATTTTCATCAGGAGTTGCATCATGTCTTCCAACCTATCTACATTATTGTGTGTCAGATATATTAACAAGCATCAAGTCTTGTAAAGGTTTGTTCTACCATGATTCAATTTAATATCATGTTAAATCTAGGAACAGTGAAAAGCACAATGGTGGCAGATGGGAACGTGAAAAGCTTTCTAGTTCATCTTAATACTTTTGAATCAGCAGGTCTTAAACTCTTGGAAATTTTACAAAGCAGAAACTCCGCCATCCCATATGGAAAGCTAATTGCTTTCCTTTTTAACGTATTTATTCTTAGACCAGTCTGTGCATCATCTGGAGCAGACTGATGATTAGCTGACAAAATTGTTTTATCTTGCCTACTGGCACCAACAGACAGCAGAGAGCCTTTGAAAGATGACTTTAACTGCCACTGCACACCAGAAACGGATGTGTGCTTGCAAAGACAGCTGTCTTTTTCCCCATTCTTTTCCCCCATTTTAATAGTCAGATATGATTAACAGAATTTCTTCAATGTTCTTGATAAATAGTGTTTCTCTGGTCTACATAGCAAAAATATGAGCTGTAGAGATGGTAGGACCAGGGAGGTTAAAAAAATTGTAACCAGACTGAAACAGAGCTGATTCCCTTATGAGCTTAAGAGCTAAAATGGTGGAAGTTTCACCCTAGAGAATTTCCAGAAACTTCCAAATACACTCCTGTGTTATTTTTTCTATCCACTTATTGTCTTCATTTTAAGCAAGCACACTGAATTCTAACAGACTGTTAGGGAAAAGTAGGTATGCTGAAACCTCCTCCAAGAAACAACTATTTTAGACTCTTTGATACAGTGAGCGTTTAAAATAAATGAAAATACACTTCACTGAAATCTGGTGGATGAGAGAAACAAAAGCCAAAATCACTTCCTATTTTGCCTTCAACTGCCTTGGCTTATAATCCAATTGTAGAGTCTCACAGTTTTGTTCTATATGAGGAAATATTTATCCTCTGGCTAGAAAAAGAGCTCAACCACCCTTCCAATATTTATTCTAAAACAGAAATTGTTTTACTAGGTACAGAGTTACCAGTGAACAGTGGTTGAAAAAAGGGATGGGAGCTTCAGCCCTGCTGTAGAAACTCCTTAAACTGGCTAACCAGACAAGTCTCCTGTCTTTGCAAAATGTCAGGTTATCTTTCAAATTCACGAGCATAATGCATGACCTCAATTAGCTCAGCTCCCAGCTGCAGGTTATCTATTCATCAAATGTCACAGTTAACCTAAGCAGCTGCTTCCATAACCCAAAGCTTCCTACCCTATATTTTTTTCAGTACTTTGTAATCTCATATTGTAATTCTATACCAAAGAAGAAGAAGAAAAAAAAACCTTGTAGAACCAACCCTTAATTGTACTGATTTTATGGTTAGAAGAAACAGCACAGGAGATAAAGGAACAAGAAGGGAAGAAATCACGATGATAAAAATTTACTCTAGTGAAACAAATGGAAAAATATTTAAGCATGACAAAGAAATCACAAAATTGTTCCTTTAGTTAGGGTCAGCAGTCATTGCCCTCGGTGATGAATGTTGAGGCTTCCAGGCAAAGGTTCTCAGCTCTGTCTCAGGCACAGACCGTCCATCTCCTCTAAAGATGGATGTGGCCCTGTCAGGCTGGATGACATTTCACAGTCCCTTCAAGCCTCATGATGCCATGGTTCTGTGAACAGCGAGCTACAGTTCAAAGTTGAATGACCACGAAAAAGTCATCTGATGAGAAATCGGAATGCCACGAATAATATTGAAATGAAAAGGAAAGCTTGATCTTGAAAAAGTTCCAATAACCCTCAAAGCCAAACAGAATTTCCCTGGATGTTGGTCCAACTTTAACATCTGCCAAAGAGCAATTTAACTTCAGTTTGGCAAAACACTTGTGCATTTAACTCAGGAGCAAGAATGCAAGCTTACCGGGAATAATTTAAACCACAAGAAAGCAAATTAGCAACCTAAGTTTAATTGTGGGGACTGTAATTAACAATAGAAATAATCTTTTTAAAATTTTTTTTAATTTTTAATACTTTTTTTAGAGACAAGGTCCTGCCATGTTGCAAAGGCTGGTCTCGAACTCCAGGCCTTAAGTGATTCTCCTGCCTCAGCCTCCCAAAGTGCTGGGATTACAGGCATGAGCCACAACACCCGGGCTTGGAAATGCTCTTTATGCATTTATCAACATGGCTGCAGCTATCCATAACAACCCAGGAAATCTGCATGAAATATTTTAATTGGCTTTCTGACTGATTACCATTTTTACTTCTTATCATGAGTACATTCCCAGTGGCATCTAAATCATTGCTTCCTTTCTGTATTCAAGACTAATCACTCCTTCTGTGGGTTTAAATCACCATGAGAATCTGGCCATAAAGTAAAAGGAGAAACCTGAATTTATGGATTATAACGTTCATTGACTCTACTCCTCCTTCAAGCAAATAAAATTTATAGATGCAATAAGAAACGAAAATATCTATGATACAAATGTAATTTTCTTCCTAGGGAAAACTCAGAATTCATTTTTAGGTCATTTTTTTGTAGCCAACTCATGCCCCAACACAGACATACAAAATTATTCTACTGTCTAGCTTGACCACAGAAAGCATTAGCCATGCATCAGGCCAAGCTGCATAGACATTTTTTAGTGGCCTCTTTGCCACCTTAGGCTCCACAAGTCTTTAAGGGGCCAGGAATCCCAAAACACCACTAGAATTCCATGTAATTTCCTCAAGCTCCTGCATGGATGTCGGGCCTAGCACATAGCATCTCAGTGTCTCAGTCTGTTTGGGTTGTCATAACAAAGTACCATAGACTGACTGGCTTAAACAACAGAAATTTATTTCTCATAGTTCTGGAGGCTGGGAAGTTCAAGATCAGGGAGCTGACTGGTCTGGTTCCTCAGTGAGGGCCCACTTCTGGGCTTGCAAAGGGCCACCTTCTCAGTAAGTCCTCAGTGAATCCATGGCAGAGAGAAAAAGAGCTCTGGTCTCTCTTCCTCCTCTTGTAAGAGCACTAATCCCATCTTGGGGGCCCCACCCTCATGACATCATCTAAAGCTAATTACCTCTCAAAGGACACACCTCCAAAGAGCATCACACCAAGCTTAGGGTTTCAGTATATATATTCTTGGTGGACACACACATTCCATCCATAACACCCAGAAATGAGCATGAATAGCTCATGTGCTTGCCATCCACCCCTTACTCCTACTCCTAGTGGTGGGCTGGTTTCCCTATGTTGGCTATCTGTCCCTTCCAACAATGAAGTCCCTGTCCTAAACTGCCCAGGACCCAAAGCCCTCCCTTCTACCTGCTGGTTCTCCTCCTCTGACTGCAGCCCAACCCTCAATTGGGAGCAGACATCACTCACAGGCACATGTCTAACTTGCTAGCTCACAGCTTTGAGTTTAATGGTAGGCTCCTCATCATTGAGCTCTATGCAAGCATCAGGGCTAGATGAAGTCTGAACATGTCTGGATGCACAAGCACCATGCCCCACGCCTGTCCTGCAGCGCCTCCTGAGTGAGCATCTCGAGTTCTGTCAACGTTTAGTTTTCATCACCTGTCTGCTTTGGGAGGCAGGAAGTATTCCTGAACCCAGCATCTCCTCTGGCCTTGTCTTCCCTGAAGCTGACCACACGCCTCATGTCCAAGCCTCAGGTGAAAAATCGTGGTGAAATACACATAACATAAAATATACCATTTTAACTGTTTCTAAGTGTACAATTTAGTGTCATTAAGAACATTCACGCTGTTGCGTAACCATCACTCCCACCCAGAACTCATTTTGTCATGCAAAACTGGAACTCTGCATGCATTGAACAATAATTCTCCATTTCCCCCTTTCTTCAAAGAAACAGTTTTGGTGTAAAAGTTGCTGCATAAAATAAGCCTGGGTCAACCCAGAGGCTTTAAAGAACACAGATATCTGTTAAGGTGCTTGGTCAACATGATCTCTTTTAAAGGATAAAAAAGGCCACCATGGATAATCTTTTCTAGCGACTGAGGATAAGAGATGAATCGGTTCCACATGATAGATTTAATTACTATCATCCACATCATTCTGCCTAAGCTCTTCCTATTTCACTCTCGCTTGCCTCTCAAACGATAAAATATGTGGTGCATGTGACGCTTGCTCTTGGTACACCATGATCCTGCTATATTTCTCATCCACAGCTTATTTACACATCTTCTTTTAACTACTTTAAGGGGAAACAAATACAACAGGAAGAGCAATAACATTTTTCAACTCTGTCACCTGCCAGATTTAATTGTGTAAACAAGGTAATAGAAATTTAAGTCACATATATGTGAATAGTCAAGCATCTGGTTATTTTGGAGAGAACCACTGTCCCTTCATCTGTGTTAACTCTGACTCCAAAAGCTCTAGAAAACCAGATGTCCTAAGTACTCTGTTTTTACTCTGTGCCAGAGAAAATTAGGCCACTAAGTCATAACTGTGTAAGAAGATTATAAAGTTAGAGAAGGTCTCTGCACTGTTGTTCACTTAAGTATCCTAATCCTACCGTAAGAGGTAAGTCAATGACAGTCACAGGAATCCTACAAGGGAATCTGAGAAGCCACCTGTTCTGCTCACCCACAAGCTAAAGTGACATCATCCAGCATCACCAGCCACAGGAAAGGGGGCACAACGGTAGTGGAAGTCAGGGGCGGTGGTTCATGGAATGATGAAAGTGATAAAACTACATGTTCTAATTAGTGCTGCATTGTGACTGATAAAGTTTTACTGGGCACCCATTTACTGTGTATAATGAACTATGGGCAATTACAGTACTTATTTTTACAGCATATTTTTGTTTTCTTTTACACTTTTCACCAAGACTCCAGAAACTACTGGGTAGGATAGGAAGAAGGACACGGAATAGCATCAATAGGAAATTCGGACACTACCAAGGATAAAATATTAGAAGGAAGCTATTCATTCCTATTGGAAATCAAAGGAGAAAACGAGCTTAGACAAGGCTACAGGCGAGGCTGCCAACGTAGGGGACACTCCTTGTGAAGTCTAATGGACCACACTGTAATATGGGAGGGGCCTTCATTCACACCTCTGTGTGGTCTCTGTCCCTGCTCAATGCTCATAAATGGAAGGTGTGTCTTTAGAAATCTGTCGTCTAAAGCTGGGGCTTAAAGCCACTGACAGATTTCTGAGACCTTTATCCACAAGACACACGGGTTTAAGTACAACCACACAGGAGCAAATGAAATTCTCCTCTTTATCCAAGACAAGCCCTGGAAGACTCCCCTGGCATAAAGCCTAGGAGGCTGTAGAGTGTTGGAGGTCACATGGGTAGGCACCATCGCCACCCTCTTGGGCATTTTTGTCCATTTTTCCCAATTAGATTTGTGATGTGGGAAGGCCAAATGGAAAACCACAGGGGAAAAGCTACAGGAAGAAAAACAAAAAGAAAAAAAAAGCCAAAGAGACAAAAGGCAGACTTTCACAGGAAAATGTGGCCATTTAAAATGAGACCAAGAGATACAGAGATGGAATTTTTCGGATTTAAAATCACCCTCAGAATCCTGCCAGCTTGACATGGTGCCTCTCTCGTTCCCATGTCAAAGTTTCTGTGGCAGATGGCAAGGAGCACAATGACCCAAAAATGTCAACCCTGTTTTCTTATAATAAAGAGAAGCTATTGAAAATACACAAAACCGTAGAGGGGAAAAAAAGCAAAAAGGAACTGTCTGAGAGCCTGTATTCTGCAGGAATGGGGCAATACATTCTGGTCCCCTGAAGTTCTGATTCTTTCATAAACATAGCTTATGTTCAACAAGGCTCAATAGAGGGTTTTCAAGTAAAATTTTCTTAAAATTGTTCAGTTGGTTTGTTTTGGGGGAAGATGTTCCATGCACATTGCAAAAACCACACAAGTATTAAATATATAGTGAAAAGTAGGTGTCTCTGTCTCACCCTTGAAAGAATTCTCCTCTCAGGACAGCCATTCCTGCCAGGCTTTTGTACAATCCTGGGAACTCATTTAATCTTAGGATAGAGAAATAGACATGTTTGTGCTGGCTCCCTTTTTATGCAAATACAGCAATCTAAACATATTGTTTCGCACCTTATTTTTTCCACTTAATATATTGAGGATATTGTTCTGTAGTTATTCATCTATTTATTCATTCATTCAATAAATATTTATCGAATACCCACTATGAGCAACGCATTGACCCAGACATTTGGCACAGCAGTGAACAAACTAATGTCTTTGTTCTGGAGAAGCTAATGCTTAGTAGAGGGGATCACAGGACAAATCAGGGTCCAATAAATATGTACTATGTCCGATGGTAATATGTATTATTCTAAAAACTTAAAGCAGGGTATGGGGAGGGGGAAGCTTGCTTTATGTGAGGACGTTTCAGTAGTGGCCTCAAGACAAGATCATGCAGCTATCAGAGGGGAATCGCCCAGACAGAAGGAAGAGCACATGCAGAGGTCCTGAGACCAGCGTGTGATTGTCACTACTGAGGAGCAGGAGGTCACCATGACTGCCATGGAGTAAGTAAGGGAGACTGACAGAAAATGAGGTCAGAGAATGAGGAGGAAGGCAGATTACATACGCTCTTGTAGCCTCTGGTCCAACATTTGGCTTTTACTCTGAGTAAGATGGAAAGCTGCTAGTAAGTCAAGAGTGGAGGAGGGATCTACAAGATATACCTTTCAGAAGACTGATCATTCTGACCGCTATGCTAAGAAGCTGCAGGCAGCAAGGCTGGAAACAAGGAGACCCATCAGGACACAGTTACCATAGTGTAGGCAGAAGGTGATGCTGGCATGGACCAGCGTCGGTAGAAATGGTGGATGGCGGTCAGTTTCTGGATACCTCATGAATGTTGGGCTGCCAAGAATTGCTGATGGACTGCATGTCAGGAGTGGAAGAGAAGAGCCGAGAAGACTTTGCTTTCTAGCCTGAGCTACTGAAAAGAGAGAGTTGTTATTTACTGAAATGGGAAAAGCAAGCCTGGGACAGGAGAGGTGATCAAGACATTGTTTTAGACAAGGTGGGTTTGATATGCCTAGCAGAGTTCCAACTGGAAATGCCAAGGAGGCTATAGATACAGGAGTCAGGAAGCAATGAAGATGCTGGGGAGGGGGATACCTATGTAGGAGCTGTCATCGTATAGATGGTGTTCTGAGACATGAATTCATTGTCATATGTTATCTATGGTCTATTGAGACATCCCTTGTTTTATTTTATTTATTTATTTATTTTTTGAGATGGAGTCTCACTGTGTCACCCAGGCTAGAGTGTAGTGGTGCAATCTCGGCTCACTGCAAGCTCCGCCTCCCAGCTTCACGTCATTCTCCTGCCTCAGCCTCCCAAGTAGCTGGGACTACAGGCACCCGCCACCACACCCAGCTAATTTTTTGTATGTTTAGTAGAGACGGGGTTTCACCATTTTAGCCAGGATGGTCTTGATCTCCTGACCTCGTGATCTGCCCACCTTGGCCTTCCAATTTAATTTTACTTATTAAAGTTCAGGGTACATGTGAAGATGTGCAGGTTTGTTACATAGGTAAACATTTACCATGGTGGTTTGCAGCATCTATCAACCCATCACCTAAGTATTAAGCCCGTATGCATTAGCTATTTTTCCTGATGCTCTCCCCTCCTCACTCCCCAGCCCTTGTTTTTTTTTTAAACAGCTGCACAGTAAGCTGTTCATATTAAATTGAAATGAAGATAACTGCTTTGACAAAAAGTCTGAACACACAGTACAGTTAGTCAATCCAAAGTATTCATGGATTTCCTATTTGCGAATTCACCTACTTGCCAAAATTTTTTGTTACCCTAAAATTGATACTCACAAGGGCTTTGATGGTCATTTGCAATCATGTGCAGAGTGGTGAAAAATCTGAGTCCCTAGTGCATGCGCTCCCAGTTGAGGTCAAACAAGGTGACACTCTGCTCTCTCGTTTCAGCTTGGCTGCCATAATCTTTTTGTGATCTATTAGAATGCTAAAACCACAAGGCCTTAGCATCTGTGTGTTTTTTGTTGGTAATTATACTGTTTAAAATGCCCCCCAGGTGTAGCATTGAAGTGTGTATAGTGTTCCTAAATGCCAGGAGGCTGTGATGTGCCTTATGGAGAAAACATGTGTTTTAGATAAGCTTTGTTCAGGCCTAAGTTATAGCACTGTTGGCTGTGAGTTCAGTGTTAATGAATCAACAATACATATCAAATAAAGTGTCTTTAAACAGAAACACACATAAAACAAGGTTATGTATTGACCAGCTGAAAAAAATGTTGTGACCAGAGGCTTGGAGAAGCCTAGCCTTGTATTTCCTAAAAGAGCAATGGGTGAGCATCCACTAATTCAGTGATCATAGTGACTTTATGGAATGTAACTGCTAGAGGTAATGAGAATGTACTTACTTTTAGTTCTTTTCTACCTTTGACATGGGAAGCATAAGATTAAAATTACTTTAGATAAATCATCTACCACTACTCTATGCCTTCAAGTAGAACCTCACAGAAACCAACCCAGAAAGGTAAGCCTCTGACTTATAAAAAGTAGTAGAGAAAGAAAAAAACTCCATTCACAAGTGCAATGACCTGCACACAGTGGATCCTCAAAAAATATCCGACAACTTTCAAAACCCATTAGAGTATCCAATAGCCTTCCCTATCAGAAAAGTATTCTTGTGTCTTACCCAAATCCCCAGTGCAAATGAAACCCCACCCCCTCTTTCTGTTCACGGTAGTAATGGAAACTTGTTGGTCACCAGCTTCTGGTGTAACAATCCTTCAGACACTCAAATGCATATTAAATCACTCTATGCTTCTCCATTTCCAAAGTAAAATAATCCCATTTACTTTAACATTTCTTTCGTAGGTCTTATTTTTCATCCTCTAATCATCTAAATGGCATTCATTCCACTTGGAAAGGCAATCACATCATTCTTTTTGCCCTGTTAAAAAATCCATTCAGAATTGCAATTTTCATCTCCTTGCCTCCAGAGTCCACATGCCTGTCATAAATGTTTAACTGGTAGGGTCATTTTATATCAAGATCTCCGTGAGCAACTGTTTTAATATGTAATTGTTCTTAGAATTCACCTTTTAAAAAAAAATTTATCTTTACAACACAACTATGTTAATTATTAAAGACAATAGCTCAAATCCACAGACCCAGACAGCTTTTTATCCAAAGGACACAGACAAAAAAGTACAACTGAAGACAATCAGCCTATACATATAAGCTAATTATAAAGAGATTTGATGTTTATCGAGCTAAGTTTTTAGAATACACTCACCTTAAGGGGTTAAGGATTTGGATACAAGCTCATGTGCCATTTGCTTTAAGTTCTAGTTGGCAATGTGTCTTGTCACTGCCTTAGTGTGTAACTTATGAAAAACAAAAATCTTACAGTTTAGACCATCAAGAGGTTGCACCACGTTCTACCCACTACCACGTAAGCAAATATTTCTATTACATTTAATATTTATTCTAAGACATTTTCTAAAAGTTAGTCTAGAAATTTAAAAGAACAAAAAGAAGCCTCTTGGAATTATGGATTTGGATTATGAGGCTAAACCATCAGACAACGTATGGTTAGACAAAGCAAGGGAGAATGGGGTATCAGGGCACCAAACCAGGAGTCCTGAAAGTTGAACCCCTTTGTCAGAGGTTTATATGTGATCTCGATTAGTCACTTCACCTTCTGGGACCTAAGTATCCTCAGGAAGGGGAGGTACAAGATGATCTGTAAGAACTCTACTGTTTCAAAATTCTGTGCTTAAAAATAGCACAATTAGCTGGCACTGGAGGGATACCAGTGATGGCACAAATCACACACATTTAAATCGAAAGTAACTGAGGTGGATCGGTATTATATTGGCATGTCCCACACATGCCTCTCTTTAGGGCCTACAAAGTGACCAACAGACTTTATGACAATGGCACCGACCGCCTGCCAAAGAAGTGATGCCCTGCGGTTCACTCATTCTCATCCTTTACCCTCCTAGCTCTGGTCTGTAAGAATTTAGTTTACAGGCTGGGCATGGTGGCTCACACCTGTAATCCCAGCACTTTGGGAAGCCGAGATGGGCGGATCACCTGAGGTCAGGAGTTCAAGACCAGCCTGGCCAACATGGAAAAACCCTGTCTCTACTAAAAACACAAAAATTAGCCAGGTGTGGTGGTGTGCGCCTGTAATCCCAGCTACTAGGGTGGCTGAGGTAGGAGAATCACTTGAACCTGGGAGGCAGAGTTGCAGATTCAGCCACTGTACTCCAGCCTGGGCAACACAGCAAGTTTACGTCTCAAAAAAAAAAAATTTAGTTTACAAACAGCTAATAAGTACTTACTATGTGTCAGCTTCATCAATATCCTAAGTGTTTCATAAATATTAACTCATTTAATTCTCATGTCACCCTTTGAACTAGCTATGATTATAAACAAACTGAGGCACACAGAAGTTAAGAAACGGGCCCAAGATCACATCACACAAAGTGCTTGGCAGAGCCAAGTGCATGCTGTCATCACTGTGCTACTGTATAAGATCCGGAGTTGTTAAGCAACAAATGGTGCTATCGTAGAGAAGTATTACCTCTTCCTTTCATTTTAAAAATTTGCACTTGTTTCTACCCTTCCCATTTTTTACCTTTATGGGAGTCTAAGTTATCATTTATTCCATTGGTTGCAAAATAGTGAAGAGGGTTGCAAGAGTTTTGGGGCATTCGTAGATATCCTTGATTATGGTGCCTGATACTAACAAGTAACTTTTTAAAAGTCCCTAAACTCTCCTCTGGATGCACAAGGTATATGAGGTCCACTGGGGGTAATCTGTAGTCAGGGATGGCGTGACAGCATGTATGGTTGCTTGCACATTAGAAAAAAAAATTTTTTTTTTTTTTTTTGAGATGGAGTCTCTCTCTGTTGCCCTGGCTGGAGTGCAGCGGTGCAATCTTGGCTCACTGCAACCTCTGCCTCCCGGGTTCAAGCAATTCTCCTGCCTCAGTCTCCCAAATAGCTGGGACTACAGGCCTGAGCTGCCATGCCTGGCTAATTTTTTTTCTTTTTTTTTTTTTTTTTTTTTTGAGATGGAGTTTCACTCTTGTCACCCAGGTTGGAGTGTAATGGTGCAATCTTGGCTCACTGCAACCTCTGCCTCCTGGGTTCAAGCGACTCTCCTACCTCAGCCTCCTGAGTACTCAGATTACCGGCACGCATCACCACGCCCAGCTAATTTTTGTATTTTTAGTAGAGACGGGGGTTTCTCCATGTTGGCCAGGTTGGTCTCGAACTCCTGACCTCGTCCCTCCCAAAGTGTTGGGATTACAGGCGTGAGCCACCGCACCCGGCCTTTTGGAATTTTTAACCATTTGCAGAAGTAGTATTTTGGAACAGGTTTAGAAGGGGAGTCAGGGTGCTGTCCTAGGTTTCTGCAATTTTCCTGTATCCTCCTTTAATTGATAATTAGTTTCCTACTTTCAGAGTTTAACCAACAATCCCTGTTTAGGAGTCAAAACCTATGCTTTATTCAAAGCCTAGTTCACAGCCAGCTGCCCCTTCCCCAGCTTGTTACTCTTATCACCCTGTTAATTCCTTTCATTGCACTTATCTCAATATGTATATTTCTGTTTTCTTTACATGCTTATTGTTTAGTTCCCTCATGTTTGTTTACATGTTTATTTTTAGTTCCTGGATTGCCACTGTATCCCCACCACCTGGCATAGCGCTTAAGAGCTACCAGGGACTTGACAAAATTAAGGTACCTCACTCACTGCTTAACAAATAGATCAAAATGTAGAATGGCTCAAAGACAAGCAAAGTTTGTTTCTTGTTCACGTAGAGTCCAAGTCAATTGCATGTGGGGAAGGAGCCGGGGAAGGGGGCTTTGTTCAACAAGGTCATTCGGAGACCGAGGCTGATGGTTATCTTTGCCATCTTCAACTCATGGCTTCCAAGTAACCTTGGCCATTCAGGGTTTCCCATTCATCCAGCAGAATGGGAAAAAGGCATGGAGGCACGTTCATAGGAAGTTTTTATGGGTAGGCCTGGAAGGAGCCCACATCACTTCTGCCTACATGTAGTTGGCCTGATCTCAGGCACTAGCGGGAAAATGAAGATTAGCCATGTGTCCAGGAAAAAGAGAAGGGCATAGAATCTGGTGAGCAGCTAGCGGTCCATAAATATCTACTGGAGAATAAATGTGAGGGAAGCCAGAGAGGAAGAAAGAAAGGGGTTTACCATCAAGTTGAGAGATGATGACTTTCTGCAGAAATGGCTGCTCTATCTGGCCATCCAATTTTCCGTGAAGCACACTACGGACTGCAGGTATAAACGAATGCATTTGTCTCATCTTCCTCTGGATTGAAAACTCCATGAACTCAGGAGCTTTTTGTTAAACTCCAGTTTCCCAGAATAAGGGTCACACCTGCAATAAGTGCTAAATAAATGTGTGAGAAGGAAACGAAACAAAACAAAACTCTCCTGATCCACAAGTATTAAGAGAAAGAGAAACAGGGACAGTATAAGCCACAAGCAGTGGAAAGTTCTCCACTGGCCAAGGTTCAGTTTGGGAAACTCCAAATTACAGTTAGGTACTAAATACCTCCTGGGTGCTGAGCCCAGTGTTGGGTGTTCTTGTATATATTTCAATCCTTTAAATATCACCATACATAATAATTGGAAACACTTAACACATAGAATAGGGGATAAATGGAGCTCCTGTCCTAAGATATTGGCAGGCAGAAGGAGTTACAGGATATAGCTTAATCTGAGATAAACTAGACAATTACTTGAAACAATCCTTAATAAAAGGAATTTTAGTTTTTTTCAGATAGATATTTCTATTCATCCATTTTTAGGCAGTAGCATGATTTCGAGTCACCCCGGTGGAAGGGAATAAGGTTTGGTTTCGCCAAGCATGTAGGAGCTTGAAAGTTGGTTGCTGGTCACAGGAATTAATTGGGACCAGCCGACAATGTTGTTCTGAGTTGTGGGGTTGGAATGACCCCTTAGAATGCTGGGTGGTGCAGGCTACACCCCACCTAAGTGTAGTTCCTAAATCATCAGTGCTTGATGCAGAATAATTAAAGACTGAGCATGATTCACATGAGTCTGACTGTATTGAAAACTGATCGGGTATAGATTATAATCCATTTATCAACATCTAATGCAGTTAACCAATTATGAGGGCCAAGCGGACCATATGAAGAGCAAAATTGTATAGAGTGTCCTTGCCCTGCAAAGGGCCCAGCCCCAGAATCACAGAGATTTTAGCTAAAAGGGATCTGAGATACAAGACACCTGCTACCTTGAGAGACTCATCCACAGACTTCTCTTCCTCCTCTTCCAGCCTTCTTAACTCACAGACTAAACACAATCCACATGCTGAGCACAGAACACTATGTTTTTTCTGAAACCACTCATTGCTCCCTCTCCCTCACTCCGCCTCCTCCTACTGCTCTGTCCATTACTTTCCTTCACACTTCTAAAATCAGGTCATTCACCCCCTTGACACTGTATGGATGAAATACAAAGAGAACTGGATTGGGTGATTGCTTAAATTTGCATGTACAAAGATGCCCATTCAGCATTATTATAAATAGTAATTTGGAAGGAAAATTGGAAAAGCATCCATGTCCATTATAATGATGAGTTACATTTATGTGAGTTGTATTTATTGGTATGGAACAATAGCTATAATAAATTAAGTTGAAAAAATCAGGACTAGGCAGAATGTATAATATTCACTGTTTGTTTCAACAAATATGTAATGTGCCATGCATGGTGCTAGCCATCAAGAGTATAATAGGATGCTAGTATAAATGATAACATAATTTAAAATAGTAGTAAGTGCTATGAAGCAAAATGCAGGATACTATGAGTATATAATTGATGAAAGATTTAACCTACTGCCATTAGTAAAAATGCTGTGTATGGTATGTTTTTAGTAGGTGTGTGTGGTGTTGTGTGTGTGTATGAAAAAGGCTAGATTATAAATATCTCTATATAAAACCAACAGTTATTAGCCCTAAATTATTTCACTTTTCTTTTCACCATGTTATGAATCTTCCGAAATTACCATGTGTTTCTTTAGTAGTCATAAAAAAACTTTAAAAAAAAATTAATTTGGCTTACTAAGCTTATCTTAGTTTCCTCAGTTATAAGTCAGATTTAGAGTTATCAGCCCTTTTTCATCTTCCCTTAAGATGAAATAAGAATTTATATTTCCTGACTTTAGAGTGCATAAGGATATATATTACTTTTGCACATTTTAAAGTAACAGTAATAGAAAGCTTTGGGGAAAAGGAGTCAGACAGACACCCCTCTTCCCGAGGAACACAGTGGGCCATCCTAGGCAGGGGAGCCACCGAGCCCACCTTCTGCGAGAGCCCAAGAGGTCTCACCATTGTACTTGGCAACTCTTCAAAATGGATCCTCTGCCAAAGTTGAAGCATCAGTTATATCTCAATGTGGAAGACCCAGAAAGGCTATTACGTTATTTCTGATTAAACTTATTCCTTACAAAGATAAACAGAAAGTTAACTGACATATTTTTAATCTTTGCTATTGATAATTTATCTCTGCTATTTGCAGCTGTTTCCAGTACATTGAGTAGCTCAGCTGTAAGCTTCTGTATAAAGCAAAGAGTGAAGCATTCTCTCTGCCACCTCTCGCTGACAACTTAAGAGCACCTCTCATGGGAGCACAGAACTCTTCCCCACAAAGGGCACAAAGTGTCTAGGGCATGGACTCGGTTGCCCAGTGATTTAAAAAATACCTTGGCCGATGCCCATCATGAGACATTCCAAAGGCATGTCCAAAGACATTCTAAAGTACCAGAGTTCCTTAAAAAATGCTTATATGTTTTTTTGTAAACTTCACATACTCATTGTCATGAAAAACTCTATTTAAATAAGAATAAAAACAACTGAGAAGTTCTAAAACATCTCTCAAATTCCGCCACTGCTAGTAGTGTGGTGAGCATGTGCCTCAAGATTTCCATCTACGTGCAGCATCCAGGTATTACGTCCACTTTATCCATGGCGGCACTGTTACATAAATGGGATTATTCGCTTCTTTTTTAAAACAAAAAATAAAGAAGGGTATTTAAAGCTTAAAAATAAGCAGATCTTGATTAGGAATTCTAAATCAGGATCATGAGACGCCACATGATGGCTTGGGGAACCAGTGATGTTTTATTCTTTGAGCGGGGTGCTAATTACAAGATTGTGTTCATTTTGCAAAAATGTGAGCTGTACATCTATGATTTGTGCACTTTTTCAGTTTTTATGTTATCTTAAAGTTTTTTAACTTAAAAACCCGATTAAGTAAATCGACACTCCATACAAAGAAGAGACGCAGGGAAAGGAAACACTTATAATCCTAAACTAGTAAAGTCAATTTGTATGCAGTATTTAATTTTCAGTATCTTAAGAAATTAATCCGTTATTTGTTCATGCACTTTCACACAAATTTGAGAGGCAGTTCTTCTAAGTCCTAGATTGGATAAACGGGTATTCCTTATCCATCAGTGATTTTAAACTTAAGTCGTAAACACAGTTCTGCAAGGAATCTCCATGCCGAATCAACAAAAACTGGGGAAGTCCTAGGTGTAGCAACATTGCAATATAGCCTGCCCTTGCTATGACAGAACATGTAAGCTAACAAGCTATACATTCTATGAACTTATTAAATCAGCCAAAGTGTCCATCAGAAATATTAAATCCTATGGACAAGGCTGAAGTTAGTTAAAAAGTGAGATTTAAGTATATACAGATGTGATTCCCCCCTTTTCCCTATCAGGTATTTTATCTATCTCTTAAGACACTTTTATATATTAAATATATTTTATATTTTGTTTTTACTATTGAAAACAAAATAAGCACAGTGGTAAAATAAAAGAGGAAATTAATCAAGCACTTTTGCAACACAAGCTATAAATCCAAACATGGCAAATTTCAGAATGCAAACAACAAATTTCTCCAAATAGATATGCTCTCCTTATATCTATGTGTAATACAGGGAGGGCCACATCAAGGAAGGTGAACTGGTTGGTGGGTCTTAGGGAGTCTGGGCACTTCATAGAGCCAGTAAGCAGATGCCCAGAGCTGAGTCCTTAGGTGTCCAGGATGTGAACTGGGAAGATTATCCACCTACTCCTTGGATGGCTAAATCCAAGGAGTAAGATGGGAAGTTAGAGATGAAGTACAAAGGCAAAAAGTAATGAATGAGGAGTGTTGAAACAAGTAAATGGAAAGGAAGGAAGAGTGAACGTAAACTGTATCATAGCTTAACCTGAAGCACCTAAGAAAGTTTTGCTATTATTCTTGAGTCCACATTTATAGGAGGGCATTTAAAGTTGCAGTCAAGGCTATCAACATGAACCACACCACTTCTTTTGTAATCCTATGAGCATCTCTCCAGAGACTTCCTCCATCTCAAACCTATTTAATTTCTAGGCAATGCAGCTAATTAGCTTATTTATCCTAGGACTTCCATTTATTGCATTGATTTTACCATCAACATCAGACTTAATAGGCCACCACATCAATGGTATTTTCTCTAGCATCCCATGTATGGTGGCTTCTGTGTCTTCTCACCTAATGGGACCTGTGCAGCATCCATCATGAATCATCAGTATCCAGGAGGCTCAACAATAGGATAAAAATTTGAACAGAACTCATATTTGCTTATTTTAAGCTTTGCACTTCCTGTAGCCCATCAAGAGTAATTCCTTCCTATAAGACCACAGCAAAATGAATGAGATTACTCATCTTCATTATATTGTTGGTATGTGTAATTCATAATTTCTAATGCTCTTGACACCATCTTCAAGGAGAAACTCAAAGCCAACCAACACATTCAATTTCCCAAAAACTTGTCACCACAATACTTCTTTTTCCAATAAATAGCATCTTAGATCCACCCTATTAATAAAATCACTCATACCTTTATTCTATGTGCTTTAGTTTTCAAGTACCGGAGAAGAGGGAGGTATTTTGTATGCACTCATTCTCCTCCACATATTTCTATTCATTTGATCAATGTGGTTACAGGTTATCAATGATCAAGAAAATGGCACTGTAGCCATTAGTAATTTCTAACTATATCTAATTTGTCCTCACTCATTACCTTCAAGCTTCTGAAACCTGTGGACATAGGAATATAGGTGCATGTAACCTCCTCTGATCCTCTAGATCCATCTTCTCCTCAGGAACATAATCAAAAGCCTACTTTATACAAATAATATATATATTATATATTTATATAAAATATAAATATTTAATTATACTATACATAATATAAATATTTATATTATATAAATATTATATTATATAATAAAATAATATATATATTATTTGTATAAAGTAGGCTATATATATAATATATATTTCTCCTAGGACACACCACATTGTCACTCACTTCTAAACACCTCATTGGACTTTGGGAACAGGCCATAGGACTCATCTCATACAGTTATTGACATGTGATATATATTAAAGAGATGAGACCTATAGCCTGTTACTCAAAGTCCAATAGATAACATAAGTCACATATAGCTATGTGTTATATGCTCTACTATATAGACCCTCAGCTTTTCTCTTAAGTTATGCCTTTATTCATTCAACACCATATAAAACCTACTATGTGAAAGGCACTGCTGTGGTGTGAATATTTGTTTCTCCCACCTCCCAAACTCATTTGTTGAACCCTAATCCCCAGTGTGATAGTATTAGAAGGTAGGGCATGTGGAAGGTGATGAGGTCTTGAAGGCTCCGCCATCACTAATCAGATTAGTGCCCTTATAAAAGAGACACCAGAGAGCTATCGAGCTCATTCTACTGTGTGAACACACAGCGAGAAGGCATCATCTATTAAGCAGAGAGTTGGCCCTCACCAGACACCAAATCTGCTAAAACCCTGATCTTGGATTTCCCAGTCTCTATAAGGAATTAATTTCTGTTGTTTGTTTGTTTGCTTTTTGAGACAGAGTCTTGCTCTGTCCTCCAGGCTGGAGTGCAGTGGTACAATCTCAGTTCACTGCAACCTCTGCCTCCTGGGTTCAAGTGATTCTCCTGCCTCAGCCTCCCGAGTAGCTGTGATTACAGGTGCCCACCACCACACTGAGCTAATTTTTGTATTTTTATTAGAGACGGGGTTTCACCATGTTGGCCAGGCTGGTCTCAAACTCCTGACCTCAGGCCATCCACCCGCCTCGGCCTCCCAAAGTGCTGAGATTACAGGCATGAGCCACCGCGCCTGGCAAATTTCTGTTGCTTTTCTGTTATCCAGTCTGATGTATTTTGTTAGAGCAGCCTGAACAGACTAAGACAGGTGGCATGCCAGGTAATGTAAGAATTACAGTGAGGGGGTTTTATTCACTTCTTTTTTTTTTTTTTTTCAAGCTGCTTGCTTCAAATGCCAGGGTCATTTGCTTTACTCTTCCACATTTCACCTCCAATCAGTGGCCAGGGCAGGTGGATTTTCTTTCACATCATCTCCTGCTTTATTTTCCATTTTCTCTCTACCATTCTAATTTAAATCCATATCATCTTTTACCTAGATAATTTTTAAAGCTTCCTTCTAATTTTTCTCCTTGTCATGGTCTCCTAATTAAACATTCTATTTTACACAAATATATTAATGTAATCTTCACGATGACCCAATGGAGGTAACAATCATTATTCCCATTTTCCAGAGAAGAAAGCTAAGAATTAAAAAGGTTTTAAAATTACTGTCCAAAATCACACAATGAGTGTAACATAGAAATTTAACTCCCTCCCTGACTTCACCACTATGCAATCTATGCATATAACAAAATTATACTTATACCTCATACATTTATACCAATACAAATTAATAAAATAATAAAAATAAAATAAAATAATAATAAAATTAAGAAAAATAAAGAACCTGGATGTGGTGACTCATGCCTGTAATCCCAGCACTTTGGGAGGCTGAGACAGGCAGATCACTTGAGGCCAGGAGTTCGAGGCCAATCTGACCAACATGGTAAAACCCTGTCTCTACTGAAAAATACAAAAATCAGCTGGGTGTGGTGGTGCATGCCTGCAGTCCCGGCTACTCAGGAGGCTGAGACATGAGAATCACTTGAACCTTAGACGTGGAGGTTGCAGTGAGCTGAGATCGCGCCACTGCACTTCAGCCTGGGTGGCCTGAGTGACGGAATGAGATTCTATCTAAAAAGAAAAAAGAAATTTAACTCCCTGTCTGAGCAACTTTATATCCTCTTTCCACACATTGGACCGTCTCCCAGTTAGACACAGCTGTTTAAGGGAAATTGGTCAGAGTAGGAACATAAGGTGTTCGTGAGCAAATGACAAAGCAACTAAAACAGGTGACATCGGGAAGGAAGAACAGGAAAAGAGAAATGTCAAAGGTGAGTTGAAATTTCGAGGCTGGGGCACTGAAAGTTTCTGTAACTTGTTGTCAGGCACCCATCTAGCGCCTGCTCTCTTCCTCTCTACTTTGAAAGGCTATATGAGGAGGTGGTTTCAGGAATGAGGGCCCTAGAGCCAGTAGCCATTTATTCCCACCCTGGCATTACCCCTCACTAGCTGTGTGCCCTTCAGAAAGCACAGAACTCTGTGTGCCTTTCCTCAATGCAACAGGGGTAGTCATTTTAAAATATGTATTTAAAAGCAAGAATGGGGATTACTAAAGGGTTTAAAACACTCAGCACATAGCACATTATGTCCTCGCTATTTGTAAAATATTGAGAACTTCTACACATTTTCCTCACTTTGAAATAACTTAAAAGTCGTCTGCAATTTGTAATATGAACTTAATTATTTGCATTTCCTTTAAATTTGTAAATAAAATTTAAAAAGTAATCAGAGGCCAGAGCCCAAGCTGGGCTGGCTTATTTGGTATAACATCTAGCAAGTTCTGACACGCTCCTGACTCTAATGAGGTCAAGGAGAGTGTTTTAAACAGTGAGTGTCTTTGATCCTGGGTAAGAAAACTGATCACATTTGCAATGATGAGAAACATGATTGGTTTCCTTTTCATCATGGAAAGGATTTAATGAAAATCCAATCTATAGATTCACTCCTCTTCCGGTCAGTGGTCTCTTACTCACTAAAATGAAAGGTGAAATATGGTTGCCTAGGCAAAAGCTAGGTGGTCCCTGTTAAATTATTGCCATTTTAGTGTCTGTCATTAAGAAGAGCTCACTTAGAACAAAGCTTTTATTTTAATGTAAAACTGGGTACTTTTTCCCCAACCTTTTAAACAGTACTTAATGAAAATAACCAGAGGATGGCCTGAATGTAAACAGCTTGCAGTCACTCTTAGTTCCCATCGCACCCTTCCACAACTCCAAAGGAAAGTTCACTCTCTTCGGAGGTCTGTACACTTTCATCAGATTGTACTTCAATGATCTCAGCCCCTGACCTGCTCCTCATTTCTCCCTGAATACTGTAAGAGAATATCACTATGCGTATGTTTATGCCCATGCTCAAAGTATGCTGGCGCGAGAGGGACTCTGCATTTCAGCCCGGTCCTTTATAATCCTTAAAGGAATGTTCTCAGGCTAATGAAGGGAAGAAAGGAATGATTCTGCCTCAAGCATTCAGGCAAAACATTCCGAAGCACTCAGAGTCCCATTTAATCCTCATGCTAGATATGTGCATTATTTATTTATTTATTTATTTATTTTTACCCATCCTGACTAAGGAGAAACAGTTTATTTTGACTTCTCAACAGTTAAGAACTGCTCAAATGGATGAGATGATAAAAGGTACCAGGTGTCACCTAAAGAGGGAAAAATCTGACCTTTGTCTTGGCAGTGATTTCTCTGGTCTGTGTCCCTATGAATGAATGATCTAGGGATGGTGCATGAAGGCAGGGAATGAGATGAATGATTCTCATAGATCTGGTTTCCAATTTCCCTCTTTCTGAGTTGCTGGAAAGGCAAACTCACTTCTAAAAATTCCCAACCCTCCCTTCATCACCAGTCTCTTCATTCATCTGGATTATAAACAGAAAAATCATTTCCCACACATCAGCTGTGCAGTCAAATAAGTATATTTCAGGCATTCTCTCTCAACAGTAATAGGCTTTATCTTCTTCTCAATGATATGTAATCCTATTTATTATCAATGTCCTTTGTCCATTAATCCTTTCGAGAAAATGTTTAGTGGCCCCATTGTTGCAAGCCAGTTCTTCCCCCCATCTCCCGTGTTTTCCTCCTTGTATCATGGGTGATTGGGAGGAGACACTTGGAAAAGACATCCAGAGAGCAGAGGCCAAGAGATAAACATGTTGTAACTTCCACAGTGAATTCTAAAACCTCATCTAAAGACCTCACGTTTACGTTAAGGATCACCTCATCCTGGCAATGTTTGCTTTACTGGATTGAATCAAACTTCCTCCAAAGTCAGATCGTTCTTTCTTTGAAAACTTGGGCTCCTGTTGTTACTGCCTATGATAGTTTCAAAAGAAAAAAAAAATCACGTGGAAGTTTGCTCTAGTAATGCTTAATGCCTCCAGTAAACAGTGAAGCTCACAGAACGGTGACAATTCAAAGCAAGCTGCTTAAGGATGAATGGATTTTTACCGCCACACAAACATATCGAGAAAACAGACAACTATTTCTTTGAAGAATCTCATGGAAATTACAGTTACTTTCAGAGGAAAGAGCACACTTCAGAGAATGCATTAATCGGGGTTTACATCTGAGGTCACCGTAGGACTGTCCTTCCCTGGCAGAGCCCAGCGAAGTCCTTATAAATTACAAAGCACCATTACCTCTGACATGAAAGGAATCATTTTTCAAAAAATCAGTGCTCTGGTGAAAAGAGTGTTCCTGCCCTTCTCATAAAAAAAGGACAGTGCCTCAGAGCTCAAGTGACTGTTCAGTCTCATGCTACCAACAGCCATTTTCACCAGCAGAGGCTAAGAATTCTTTCCCAGGTAACACACTAGGTCTGTAGAAAACTCCAGAGTTTCTTACCATTGCGACCAATCTTCCTTCCCTCCCTGCGGAGTCCAGCAGCCAGGAGCTGTCGCTGATGTGCTGCTTCCCACAGCCTCTGGAGCCTTCAGAGGCAGAGAATGTTTCATGTGGCACAAACGTATCACCACCGATTACATTTCAGTCCCTCAATTGCTGGCCTCAATGCTTTGGAAATCAGCCAAACTGAGCACGAAGAGAGAAAGGGCTGCAGCTTGCAATTTCAGAATTTCCCCTAGAATGTGCTCTTAAAAACATAGGCCCCTCATTTAGCATTTAAGCAAGCACTGGGGACTGCTATGTTTAATTATGTTTCTCCCTCTTTTCCTTTTAATCTGAGAGGAGTTGTGTTCCTTGTGGAATGAAATGATAGCAAGATCTCAAGCTGACCCAGGGGAGGCAGGCACCGTGCTGGTGTCCACACACCTCCAACCTGAGCAGAAACGGCTGCAATTCCAATCAGAGTAAAGGAGAATCCTGCCTAGACAAAGACGAGCGAAGAGGGGCAATGCTGACGAGCACTCCATGGTTACAGCAGCTCGGTCATCGGTGGGTGTTTGCTAAGTCCAGACTAAATCCTGTGGCGTAGCGCTGTCAAATCTGAACAGGTGGAAAGAAAAGTTCTTTACTCATCAAGGCAGTGTAAGGTGCACAGCTTTAGCTTGAAGAGTATAATCAAAGTTCTTCAAATGCAGGGACCATGGCTTCTCAGATGCTTTAAATCTAGCCTGTGCTGCTCACTTATATGAAACCACGGGGCTCTTTGCTTTTCCTGCACTTTGGCCACGTTTTATCGTTTAAAAATTTATCTCAGAAGAATTCAATCACACAGCTGGCACACAGCAGCAGCTGAACCTCATCCAAAGCTCAGACAGGACTCTTTAGAATAATAGTACACATAAGCAAAAACATCTGTTGATTGCCAAATTGTTTACTTGCCTTTCCTTCGCCACCTGTAAATTGCAGGAGGGCAGGTGCCATGCTTCTTTTGTTCAAATCTGCATCCTCCAGGCAGCATCTATTCCACTCTAGAATATTTACTAGCTGAGTTAATACATTGATTTCCCATTACTGTTGGAAATGTTGGCAAAGTCCCACAAATTGGTAGAATTCCTTTTGCTTGGAGCCTGATTTGTTCCAGGCTTGGGTTGGGTTCCTTTTTTTACTGCTTTTCCTCTCATCAAAAAGGAAAAATTCACATCTTCTTGTATGGTTAGGCCTAGAAAGGGCTGGAATAACCTCCAGCAAAGCTAAATACTTGTTCTAGAGCAAATTCATCCCCAGGAATATAATTTGTGCTGATGGCCTAGGGTTCTGATTTCTTAGAAGAGTCCATGGCATTTATCAGGCTCGATGGCATCAAGGAGTAGCTGTGAATCAACAGAGTCCCAGAAAAACACACACATTTTCACACCCTCTGGAAAAAGTCTTTTAGGATAGAGAAGCCAATATGGCAGGCAAATTAGGTGCCCACATGAGAGACATCTGGCCAAGATGTAGCTCAATGCTTGCATTGAGTAGGTTCTAGACACCCCTTTAAGGGGTTACATGAATTCAGTAAGTGAATACTCTGAAACTCTGGAGTGTTTAACACCTGTCCCCAAGCTGGAATAAGCCAACATTGCCTAACGTGGATTCTCAGTTCATCATCCCATCCTGAGGTCCTTTCTCTAGAAACACTCAGCCACATCGTTTTGACTCTACCTTGGGCCATGCCCACTTATCCTTCTCCTCTCATGGGAAGAGGCGGCAACATCTACTGCAGTGTGACCAGGAAAAAAAGCATTGTCTGCTTTTTTCCATTAGCCTTATATCTGTGCACAAGAAATCCCCTACCGCAGCATCAATGAAGCGTCTCCCTTTCTTCTACCTGTTCTGCAAGGTGCAGCGTTATTCTTTCCTCCTTCAGAAAGAGTTCCCTGACATCCTCAACTTACAGCAATTTATCTTCTCTATGACTGTCACTCAACACTGTCCTAAGCATTTAACATTGAATCATACATTGTCTTCAGACACTTCTTGGATGCCACTGGTTATTTTATTGTTTATTTTTAGGTATCTTACCATCTAGCCAGATTGTAAACATGTTATTCCTGTATCAAATTCTTTTTTTTTTTTTTTTTTTGAGAGGAGTGTTGCTTTGTTGCCCAGGCTGGAGTGCAATGACACGATCATGGCTCAGTGCAACTTCCGCCACCCAGGGTCGAGTGATTCTCCTGTCTCAGCCTCCCAAGCAGCTGGGATTACAGGTGCACGCTGCCATGCCTGGCTAATTTTTTGTATTTTCGTAGAGACAGGGCTTCACCGTGTTGCCCAGGCTGGTCTCGAACTCCTGAGCTCAGGTGATCCACCTGCCTCAGCCTCCCATCGTGCTAGGATTACAGGCTTGAGCCACCGCGCCCAGTCTAAAATTCTTGAATGGCAACCTACTGGCTGTAAGGTAAAACCGAGACTACTCTCCATGGTATTTAAGGTCCTTCATGAAAGACCTCCTTAAAGTTTCCTCTCCCACCATGCTCCTGCTAGTACCTTATACTTCAGTCACAAAGAACTCCTTGCAGTATCCTCAAGTCACCGTGCTCACCAATACCTCCAGGCCTTTGCACACAAGACACTCCATTCCAGGGATGGTTTTTATTGTTGTCCCCACGGGGGCTTCGGCTCAGTCCTCAATGTCTGCGCCATCTCCCTTGACCCTCCCAACAGGGCTGAATGGCAAGCTGAAGGCTAGAAGTACATTAATCACGGGGGCGCACCATCCTTATGTCTGTGTCAGGGCCCTGCACAAATCTAAGCAGATGTAGAATCAGTGCTTTTTCGGCAATGAAAAATGTTCATACAGTGTACTGGCATTTTGGACTTTTTTTTTTCAAATAAGTTAACCTAGTGGAAACAACAAGGGACTAGGAGGAAGGATTTCTGAATAATCATCTGCCTGTTGAGTCAACCAGGATTCTAGTGATATGAAAAATTGTTTGGCACTTTTATTATCAAAATTGTTACACTTTTCAGCTTGATCTTGTCAGAACACACTGAATTACAATCACCTCACTGATACCTGGCCTCACAAACCATCAGCAAGAAAGTTAGGAAGTTCTGGAGAGTGAGAAGCAGGAAAAAACTTGGACTTTTCTATAAAATAGTAGTTCGTATACCTTCATTAAAAAACGTGGACATCCAGGCTGGGCACGATGACTCACGCCTATAATCCTAGCACTTTAGGAAGCTGAGGCGGGTGGATCGCTTGAGCCCAGGAGTTCCAGACCAGCCTAGGCAACACGGTGAAACTCCATCTCTACAAAAAATAAAAAAATTAGCTTTGTGTAATGGCGTGTGTCTGCAGTCCCAGTTACTCAGGAGGCTGAGATGGGCAGATGGCTTGAGCCCAGGAGGCAGAGGTTGCACTGAGCTGAGATTGCGCCACTGCACACCAGCCTGGGTGGCCGAACCAGACCCTGCCCCCCACCCCTGATGTGGACATCCGGAAAGCCAGTCCTTTCCTCTGCACCCCCTAGGTCCTATCTTCCCACACACCCCTAACAACTAAAAATCCAGGTACAACAGTGAAAAGTCTGAGACCAAGCAGGTAAAATGCTCAGCGGAAGGCTATTCCCACTCTTCTGAACATGGAAAGGTGAAAGGAAAAAGACAAAGGAAAAAGAAATCCCTTTACAAATTTCACGATTGTCAGAATGTTTGTGGCCCCCTCCACATTCGTATGTTGAAACCTAATCCCCAGCTCGATGGTGTTAGGAGGTGGTGTTTTTAGAAGGTGACAAGATCAAGAGAGAGGAGCCCTCATGAACGGGATTAGTACTTTTATCAAACATGACTAAGGGAGATTGCTTGCCCTTCCCCCAGGTGAGGACACAGGGAGAAGGCACCATCTAGGAACCAGGAAGCAGGTCCTCCAGGCATCAAATCTGCCAGTGACTTGATCTGGGACTTTCCAGCCTCCAGAATCGGGAGAAATAAGTTTCTTTGTTTGTAAGCTACCTAGTTTATGGTCATTTTGTTATAGCAGCCTAAATAGGCTAAGACAAAATGCATATAAGTAATACCTATTTCATTTAGTGTTTTCTTATGAGCAAATGCATTTTATCTTTTTAATGAAATTTTTATTGTACCCTTAGAAGATCTTTGAAATGTTTTTGAGAAGCCCAACAAGACATCATTACCTCCCTACACAGTGTATTCATTATTTGCCTGTTCAAAATTTTCAAATGCTCATCCTGCATTCACGAAAAGTGTACCTGCCATTCCAAAAAGGTAGTCCCTAGAGATTGGAAGCTCCCTATGGCCACTGCGACACCCACTCCCTACTATCACAATGTAGGGCTCCCCTTTAGGATAGAATTTAGAGAAAATGCAGAGACATAGGCTCCTACTTATCCCATAGCTGCAGAATGACACCTGTCCACCCCTCTCTCATAAAAGAAACAAGAAAAGTGTTGTGAACTGCTTATCTTTCTTTGTCTCTCCCAACACCAGTTTTAACCCCTAGTCCTATCTTCCTGTACTACCTATGTATTTTTGCCTGGCCATTGGATATGTTTAGCCTCACCCACTCCTTCTCAGCCTCACAGTTGCAGCTAATTCAGGCAGCAGGGCTAGGAGAGCTCAACGTGCGCTGGTGATTAGAGACCCTTTAAAAGAGTCACATGGACAAGATGATACTTTCAAATTTAACTTCAGGCTGGCTGCGGTGGCTCATGCCTGTAATCTCAGCACTTTGGGAGGCCAAGGTGGGCAGATCACTTGAGGTCAGGAGTTTGAGACCAGCCTGGTCAGCATGGTGAGACCCCTGTCTCTACTAAAAGTACAAAAATATTCGCCAGGTGTGGTGGCGGTCACCTGTAATCCCAGCTACTCGAGAAGCTGAGGCAGGAGAATCGCTTGAACCTGGGAGGCAGAGGCTGCAGTGAGCCGAGATCATGCATTGCACTCTAGCCTGGGCAACACAGCAAGACTCCGTGTCAAAAAAAAAAAAAAGGCAAATTTAATCTCAAGCAAACCCACTCAGTCTAACAGTCATAAAGCATGTAGGGATGGCTTTCAGCTTCTAATACTGTTTCAAAGGTTTCTGTTTCAATAGACTTAAATTGATGTTGGCAGAGGAAAAAAAAAGAAAAAAATGAGGTCAAGGCACTGAGAAAAAGAAACCATCACTTTCTAAAACCACCCAAGATTGCTAAGCATTTGCATATATGAAAAGAGACACAGGGGAAAACATATTTCATCTGTAAAATGTTTACATTAATTTCTATTAAGGTATTATGAACTACGAAATCATAAAAGAGTTTCTAACGCTGAAAAGTGGCTGTAATAGAAAGGAAATTAAGGAGAGAGTGGTAAAATGTGAGTGCCCTTAAGTAGGGTAGCAGCCATTGTAGATCAGAGTGTGTTCCAGGGTCTAACATATCTAACAGAAAGCTTGAAGTTTGTTTCCCAGACAAGCCTGAATTACAGAGAGAGCTGACCGGATGCCCTGAATCTTTGCAGATCGTCACAGTTTACCCTTTCCGGTTCTATCCCTGGGACCATCTATTTCTTTTCTTCAGCTGTCAGGAATTATGTATGTGCCTGTTCTTCTTTTTTACCACAGGAGGGAGCCCCAGCACAATCAGGGTATAGTTCTCCAGCTTTTTCTCCAAGTGGAGAAATGACTTTTTAATCACCTGTTAAAAATACGGGCGTAAATGCCTCCCAGCAGAAACGAATGTGATCAATCAGTTGTTCAAAATAAGCTTCAGAAGCTGCCCTCCAACTCAAACTGCTCAAGTTTTTCACATACATCTATGTGTGCATGGAGTGTGACTGTTATGTTTATTCTCTTTTACCTATTTTAATGCCAGAATTTGCAAATCATTTGAAAGGCTTTATTTAGATGAAGATAATCCAGATGCAAATTCTAAGCATTAAGATACTTGATTTTTTAACTAATGACTTTCATCACATGGAGCTCACTGGATTGATTTATACCTGAATTAAAAGCAACCTGTAATTTATCTTCTACGCCCCAATTTTTTTGACATAAAGGACCGTCCCAAGTAAGAAGTCTTCTGAGGCAGGTTGCCAAAGAGATTTAGTGATGGTGAAACAAGCAGCTTAATGAAGTGAAATCTCCTTATTAACCTTTGACCAAAGTCACACCTGTACCCATTCCTTGTTTCAGGTCTTACACACCTTAAAGGCAGCAGCCAGGTTCAGTTCTAATTTGCCTCTGAAGAATTCAGTGCAAGCCTGTTTAGAAAAGTGATTATCCTTCAATTTGTAGGCAATGAAGTAGGCGCTTATATGGACTCCCAGAAGGCATCAATCAGACATAGCACTTGTCCCAGAAGGGAGCTTCATGCCCAAATCAATACAGGAGCTCACTTTATATGGCATTTCTACAAGGCTGTGTAAGGTGTCTTAAAGTCAAATGCAGCTACAGCCATGAGGGAGAAAAGAGATCTGATCAACAGAAGTGTCCCAAAGATGGTCCTTGAACCGCAGTTATGTAAAGTTCCACTCTGTCCAGGCAGGTGTGCTACACCAGTTGTGGTGCGGGATAGAGCCGGGGTGGGGACAGAAGGGCCAGCTCCCCCCATGCCACTGTGCCCCAGGGCAGAGACCTAGGAGTCCAGGAATTCTAAATTTGAACCTGTCCTTCCAGGACATTACAAAGAAATACTTCACAGGTAGAAGGATGGGAACATATTTTATTTAAGAGTGTGTCAGCTTGATTTATAAGCTTCATATATTTAGGTACATGGAATTTTCTCCTGACCCCAACCAAGGTTGGAGTGGATCTGTTCCCTCCCCTCCTTACTCCGCCTTGCAATCAAAAGCATGCATTAGTTTGGTTCCATTCAGTGACTCTGAGCTGGGTTTCTGAGGGGATGAGAATGGTAGAGACCTTCAGATAAGGCTTGCTAGCCACTGGCTACAGGTGACGATTTACAAAGTTTTAATTAATTCAGATTAAATAAAATTTAAGATCCAGTTCCTTAGTCACACTAGCCACATCTCGAATGCTCAAGAGTCCCATGTGGCTGGTGGCGACTGGACTGAAAGGCACACATTTAGAACATGCCCATCATTGCAGAACTTTCTACTGGACAGTGCTGCCCTAAAGAACTCTAAAAAGAAAATAAAATCTGTTTAGATTTAAAGTGACTGAAACACCTGCAGGCTGAGTGCGCAAGTCAGCAAGCAAGTTTGCATATTTAGAATTACTGTGTGAGCTGTCCATGATTGATATTAGGCATTATAAAAGGTATCATTTGTTTGGTGATGGTCTATATCAGAGACTGCAAACTGGCCACCTGAGGGATGAATATTGGCTTCTGCTGTGTTGTGAACAAAAGGTGGGGAGGACTTCATTAAAATCTAGTTTTCTGATTTCTTTTGAAACATCAGAAGATCTGGCCCCTGTGAGACTGCATTTCCACGCTGGAACACAGACCTGGAGTCCAGAAGCAGCTTTCTTTTCAGAAGGAGTGAGTGCTCTTCAGGTTACCAAAATCCCCGCCCGACACTGCGTCCGTAACACTATTTCCTAATTCCTTCCATATGCGCAGTTGAATGGGAAAACAAGAATGTCTCTAGCTTTGCAAAAAGGAAAATCTCTATGATAAAACATGACAAAAGCTGCCGAGAACACTCTCGCTTATTCTGTTTCTCTAAATAAATTCCATCATCCACTTATCCAGGGGGTCTCTGGGCTCCCTGTCAAACCGGAGAAGCCACGTCTCATGTTAAAAAACATATGTTTTCATGTTTTGTGGTGATGGGAATTCCTAGTGAACTCGAAACAGACAATGGTCCAGCCTATTGTAGTAAAGCTTTTAAAAATTTGCTTGATCAGTGGCATATTAAACATATTACTGGTATTCCTTAGAGCCCACAAGCCCAAGCTATTGTAGAAAGAAGTAAGAGAACTTCAAAATTACAATTACTTAAACAAAAAGAGGGGGATAAGGAGTTGTCTACCCCTCACATACAACTAAACTGGCATTGCTCACGTTAAATTTTCTTAATATTCCTAAATCTAGTTCTGTTACTGCTGCCGAAAAACATTTCTTTGGTAACCATCCTACAGTAAACCGAGGAAGAGAAGTATGGTGGAAAGATCTAATATATGGTCAAAAGTTTCTATTTTAACGTGGGGAAGAGGTTATGCTTGTGTTTCCCCAGGTGAACGTCAATCTCCTGTTTGGATTCCTGCTAGACACCTAAAATTGTGTCCTGAAAATGCATGCAACAACAAGACAGAGAAATTTGCTGAAAAAGCACCACAGCAAGAAACAACTAACACACCCAATCATCAAAAAGAAGAAAATGACCACGCTAACTCCTTTACAACAGACAATCCAGTCAGACATCCTGAACAACTTGTCTCCAGCGATCCAGGTCCGGCTCAACCTCTGCCTCCTCCTGGTTACACTGATCCTTCTACCCTCTGTCACTCCACAGACTGTTAAAAACTATACATATTGGGCCTATATTCCTTTTCCTCCTCTTATTCAAGCCATGACAGGGATGGACGCTCCTATCGAGGTCTATGTTAATGACAGTATTTGGATGCCTGGTTCTGTAGATGATCGTTGTCCTGACCAACCTTCAGAAGAAGGAACCCCTTTCAATATCACTTTAGGTTTTAGGTATCGACCTTTGTGCCTGGGACCCACTAATGGATGTCTCTCATTAGATATTCAAACTTGGGCTGTCACACTACTGTCTGGTCACTCTGTCCCTCCTTTAGGACACATGGTATCGGGGCTCTCATTAAAACCTCTGAGGCAAATCAAAACAGGAATCACTGATTATATTCACACATTCCAATATAAGCCTTTAGGACCTGCATGTCCTCTCAACTTGTCTTCAAATGCTGACAAATTAATATGGAAAGATTGTGTTAGCTCAGAAGGAACTGTGTTATTTAATTCTTCTCACTACACCATTGTTGATTTGGCTCCCAAAGGTCATATTACTAATGATTGCTCTCAAGGTCACAAAGATTGCCAACATTTTCTCTATAATATTACTTATCAAAAAAGTAGTGACAACCCTCCCCTATTATATTGTACATTTAACTCCTTTTTTCCTCTTAAGTGGAAAGGGGCAGGGGTTGCCCCTCCAAAGCCAAGGCTCATTGTTCCCCACTTAGGACCTGAACATTCAGAATTATGGAGATTAACAATAGCTATGACTGGTATGAGAGTTTGGGCTGGAGAAAGTGTTATAAGTAAATCCACCTTGTCACCTCAAAATATGTATACTATCTATATGGAGTCCAACAAAACTATACCACTTAAAAGTTGTGTTAAACCACCATATATGTTATTAGTAGGAAAGATGCATATTAGTTCAAAAACTAACATAATTACCTGTGTTAATTGTTACTTGTATACTTGTATTGACTCATCCTTTAATCAATATCATAGTATTTTAATAGTCAGAGCCAGAGACGGTATTTGGCTCCCCGTAGCCTTACACAGGCCTTGGGAATCTTTCCCTTCTATCCATGTTATTAACAATATTCTACAGAAAATTCTTAAAACGAGTAAATGATTTATTTTTACATTAATTGCAATAATAATGGGCTTCATTGCTATTACTGCGACTGCTGCTACTGCTGGAGTTGCATTACATCAGTCTATTCAAACTGTTCATTTTGTGGATAAATGGCAAAAAAATTCTACTCGGATGTGGAATTCTCAGTCAAGTATTGATCAAAAATTGACTAATCAAATTAATGATCTAAGACAAACTGTTACATGGATGGGAGATAGAATCATGAGTTTAGAACATAGATTACAAATGCAATGTGATTGGAATACTTCTAATTTTTGTATAACTCCGTTTCAATATAATAAGTCTGTTCACAATTGGGAATCAGTAAAACGCCATTTACAAGGAAGTGAAGATAATTTAAGTTTAGACATAAGCAAGCTAAAAGAACAGATTTTTGAGGCCTCTCAAGCACACTTACCTGCTTTACCCGATGCTGAAGTTTTAGACGGTATCTCTGAGGGGTTATCTAATCTTAACCCCATTCAATGGGTAAAATCTTTGGGAGGATCCACTATCGTTAATTTTGTTCTGTGTATAATTTGTGCTACTGGTTTATTGTTCATGTGTAAAATTGGAAAAAATATTCTTCAATCCAATTGTGATCAGCGCCAAGCTATGATTGCTATGGTTCATTTAAATCAGAGAAAAGGGGGAGACGTAGGGAGACCCCCTGAAACTATTGCTATGGAATAAAAGATGAAATGCTTCTGATTATTGTAAATACAAAATTGCACGCAGGATTGTGTAAAGACAATTCCAGGTTGGACTGCCAGAACGAGCCAACAGCGCGTGATGTGCTTCCCCCTACAGAGAGCCTATGAGTGGAAGTGCAGTCAGGGAGGTTTCACATCACCAAGATTCCTATCCCAGAAAAGCAGATGTTCATAGCTCTGGGAATGGAATGTGACTCTTGTGGAAAGCCTATAAAGGGATGCATGGGGGGCGCCTGTCCATATGGATAAGATAGGGCTATAAACGCCCTCATCTTGCCGCGGCTCTTCTAGGTCTCTTTAGGGTTAAAGCATACTCCCTTCCGAGAATTTCTGGTCTAACCAGTTGTCTAGCTTCATGTCCTGTTTCCCTGGATTGTTTGTAACCAGCTTTTGTTGCAATTGTTACTGCTGATTAATATCTTGCTAATCATAGGTTATGGAAAGACTGTGTTTCTGTTCTAAGGCTCTGTTAGAAATTACTGACACACACACTATATTGTAAATTCTTATCTCTGTATACTGTACTTCTACATAAAATGTTATGTTAAAGAATTACTTCATCCCCATGTGACCATCTCACCTCATAATCAAATGACCCTAAATCCCTCACTAACCTACCCCCGCCCTCACTAAACTTAATCATAGATGCTGGTATATCCAGTGCATTGTTGGCACCACGGGACCAGAGGTGGTGACCCCCCTGGACCCAGCTCTCACTATCTTGTGTGTGTCTATTATTTCTCAACCTGCCGATCCACCTAGGAACAAAGAGAGAGCCCCGTTGCATTGCGGGCTGCTGGCCAGATCCCGCAATAGGATTAGTGAATTACAAAATCAGAAGGTCAAACTTCATAATTTCTTATAGTCCCATGTTCAACACTCTAGGCTTTCAAACTTGATTTGAGAATGAAAGGAGGAAGGAAGAAGATAATAAAGACATCATACTCTTCCTCTCTATCTACTGCCTTCTGCTCCTCCCTATACAGACACACAAACAACACATACATACATACACACACATACACACACATCCCCAAGTGTAATGGGGCTGTGAAAAGGTCTAGTTACACATAAGAATGAGCACACTTCTGAATAAAATTTTCAGTAATATTTGGGAATATAGTGCCAAAATATCCCAATCATGCACAAGTCTCTTCATTTAAAAATCTAGTCTTATGTCCATGAATTATACTCATTTAAATTTAAGCTCCATTAAAAAAAAAAAGCAGAGGCCAGGCACGGTGGCTCATGTTTGTAATCCCAGAACTTTGTGAGGCCAAGGTGAGTGGATCACCTGAGGTCAGGAGTTCCAGACCAGCCTGGGCAAGGTGGTGAAACCCCATCTCTACTAAAAATACAAAAACTTAGCCAGATGTGGTGGCATGCACCTGTAGTCCCAGGTACTCAAGAGGCTGAGGCAGGAGAATCACTTGAACCCAGGAGGCAGAGGTTGCAGTGAGCCAAGATCGCGCCAGTGCACTCCAGCCTGGGTGACAGAGGGAGACTGTCTCAAAAAAGAGCAGGGACTTTATCTGTCCTGTTCAATATCAGCACATAGCCAGTACTCAGTTCTCAATAAGTAGTTTGTTGAATAGAATAGAACCCTGACAGGGAACATCCCATTTTCTTAGAAATTCTAAGTCTCTGCCATATCCCCCTTGATCTCAACCTGGCATAGTGATATTTTATATTGATTTATTCAACACACAGTTGAAGGCCTTTTATGTGCTGGGACTCTGTTGGAGGTGTATTATAGTATGCCGTAGCTGGTTCTCTAAGTCACAGGTCATATGTTCAGGAAGGGATTGCAATCATGTTAATAATTTGATTTCAAATACCACATTGCCTTTTATTTTTAAAAAGTCACATACATACAATAAATAATTTGTCCATTAATATATATTTCTCAACCTGTCCTACTCCTCTTTATTCTAATGGAAAATCAATAGAGTGATTTATCTTCCTTCGGGTATATACCCACTAATGGGATTGCTGGGTTGAATGGTAGCTCTGTTTTAAGCTCTTTGAGAAATCGCCAGGCTGCTTCCCACGGTGGCTGAACTAACTTATATTCCAACCAACAGTGTATAAGCATTCCCTTTCTCCCCAGCCTTGCCAGCATCTGTTGTTTTTTGACTTCTTAGTAATAGTCATTCTGACTGGTGTGAGATGGTATCTGGTTGTGGTTTTGATTTGCATTTCTCTGATGATTAGAGACGCTAAGCATTTTTCCATGTTTGTCTTTTGAGAAGTGTCAGTTCATGTCCTTTGCCCATTTTTAGTGGGTTTATTTGTTTTTTGCTTATTGATTTATTTAAGTTCTCAACAGATTCTGGATTTTGGGCCTTTGTTAAATGCATAGTTTACAAATATCTTCTCCTATCATACAGAGCTGTATGTTTGCTCTGTTGACAGTTTCTTTTACTGTGCAGAAACTCTTTCATTTAATTAGGTCCCACTTGTCCATTTTTGTTTTTGTTGCAATTGCTTTTGAGGGCTTTGCCAAAAATTCTTTGCCAAGACTAATGCATGTGTTGACCAAAAAGACACATGCGCTCATATGTTCCTCACAGCACTATTCACAATAGCAAAGACATGAAATCAATGTAAATGCCCATCAATGGTAGACTGGATACAGAAAATGTGGCACATATACACCATGGAATACTATGCAACCATAAAAAAGAATAAAATCATGTCCTTTGCAGGGACATGGATGCAGTTAGAAGCCATAATCCTAGAGGAATTAACACAGGAACAGAAAACCACTTCTAAGTGGGAGCTAAACACTGAGCACACCTCAACATAAAACATGGGAACAAGAGCCACTGGGGACTGCTAGAGTGGGGAGGGAGGAACGGGCGTGGGTTGAAAAACTACTTATGCTCACCGCCTGGGTGACGGGATCCATACTCCAAACCTCAGCATCCCATGTAAAAAATCTGCACATGGACCCCCCTGTATCTAAAATAAAAGTTGAAATAAAAAAAAAAAGAAAAAAGGAAGAAAAATGACTCTCCCCTGGAGCCATTGCCTGGACTGTAACCCTCTCCAGGGGAGGCTGTGTTTTCTCCCTTAGACCTTGTGCCACCAGATGAGGAGGTCTGCATAGATAACCTCACTGTTCCTCACTGCCACTTTGAGACCATTCATTCTCCCTTTCTTCTCCCAAAAGAAGTTCCTGTTGTCATCAGACTAGATCATCCAATACTCCTCAGTGGCACCATTATCCACTGATTCCTGAGTCAATTCCTTTTTTCTCACTGTCACTGTCTCCAACATTACTTGTGCCTTAATTCTAAAAATGTCACCATATATGTAGATGATCTTTCCAACACACTGGTGCTTCATTTCCTTAAACCATCACTTTCAATACCCTTCTCCTCCACGCTGCCTCCACTACTCACTTCCGTGTCATTATCACTAGCTGCGAACGCTCTGTAATGTCAATCTCATGCCTCCCACTCTTCCCACGAGCTCATATCTTTTCCTCGCACTGTCTGTGGTACTGTAACTTCAACCAGTTTTCGGCCCCATTAGGATTGGCAATCCATTGATCACAGTGCCATGTCACTACAGCACATGATATTGTCTCTTTCCTCTTTATCCAGATTAAAATCAAACCCAGTCAGTAGAGACACTCGCTTGTCCATGCTCTCTATGCCCATCCCCTTCTGCTTTGTTGCACTTGCTTGTCATCCAGCCTTCAATGCCTCCAACTCTGTACTCCTGAACTGGTGCAGCCCAGCAAGACTAGGGAAAAACAAACTCCAAATTCATGCTGCATCGCAAGCGGACTCCTAATGTTCCCAAGCAGTCGTGCTTCTTATCTCTACTCCATTCATTCATCCAGTCTCCCAAAGGGTTATTTCACACTCCTTGACCTCTCCCCAAACTTCCAACGCCTTCTCTCTCATTCTTACCCTCAGCTTAAGGTCTTCCTCTTACTTCACATCCACAGACCACACTGCCTTCTCTTCACACTTTCCAGCATCTGAGTAAGTATCTAGGACCTGCCTTCCCATCTATGACCAAGAATGAACTGGCCACACTCCCATCTCAAGGCAGTGCCTCTACTTATACCCGTATCCCATCCTCGTGTACACTCAGGACATCTCTTTGGCAATTATACCCTCTTCTATGAAAAAAAAATCAATTTTCTTACTCTACGCTGGATCACACTCATTAGCATACAGAATACTATTATTTTTCCCATATTAAAAAAAAAGAAACAAAAAAGGCCTTCCATTCTCCCCATATTCTCCACCAGCCATTGTCCCATTTCTTCCCTTCCCTGTGTGACGATATCTGGAAAGCATTATCATTCAGTTATACCGAGTACCTCCATTCCCCACCTCTCCACTGACATTGCTCACATTAAGGTTGCCCATGGCCTCCACGCTGCCAAGTCCAAACCCCAATTCTCGATTTTAATCTTACTTAATCTTTCGGAGCACTTCACGTAGTCATTCATTCCTCCTCCTTGACACAATTTTCTCACTTGCCCTTTCAGTACATGCAACTCTCTTGTTTTTCTGTCCACTTCACATGTCCCTTCTTTTTGACCCAACCTCTTAATTTTGGAGTACCTTTGAGCCCTTTATTGTCCCCTAGTCCCAAGGATTTCAATGGCAAGTAAGTGCCAGTGGCTCCTATATTATATTTCAGCCCAAATCTATTTATCTTTCCAATGTCTACTCAACAGTGCTACCTGGATGTTTAGGAGGCATCTCACCCTGCCCAAACTCAACGCTGATCATCCCATTCTTCCCTATTTAGCACATAGCTTTCCTTACCTCAGTTACGGCAATTCTATTTTTGTAGGCCAAAAGCTTTGTAATCAAACTTGCAAGGGTGGCTCTAATAAAAATTTAAAACCATAATAGAAAATAACAAAAGGTGGTGAGGAAACCCTCATTCTCTCATTCTGGTGAGACTATAAAATAGTACAGCCACTGTGGAAACAGTTTGGAAGTTCCTCAAAAGGTTAAACACAGAAATACCAAGTAATCCAGCAATTCCAACTCTAGGTATATACCCCAAAGAACTGAAAACAAGGATTGAAACAAACATACATTTTCATCATCATACCATCACCATGGTCAGCAGTGGAAACAGCCCAAATGTCCATCGATGAATGAATAGAGAAGCACAACATGGTGTCTATCCATACAGTGAAATAGCACTCCACCCTAAAGAGGAGTGAAGTGCTGACACATGCTACATGATAGACTTTGAAGACATTATGCTAAGTGACAGAAGCCAGACACGAAAGGTCACATATTGTGTGATTCCCTTTACATACAATGTCTAGAATATGTAAATCTACAGAAGTAGAAATTATCTTTGTGGTTGCCAGAGGCTTGGAAAAGGAAAAAATGGCAGGTGACTCTTTCTGGGTATGAGTTTCCTTATGGGGTGACAAAAATGTTTTAGAACTAAATAGAAGTGATCACATCATCGCGAACATACCAAATGCCACTGAATTGTACATTGAAATGGCTCATTTTAGGCTACATGAATTTCACCTCAATTAAGGAAAGAGAATCTTCCTTGACTCCTTTCTTTCACTGATACTCCAAATTTAATCTCTCAGGAAATCACTCGGACTCTACACTCAAAATACATAAATATATCCAGAAGCCGAACCTTTCTCACCTGCACACTATTACCAGTCTGATCCAGCCCAACATGATCTTTCTTTTGGATTATTACATGGACTCCTAATTGGTCTCCTTTATTATACTCTTATCACCTTATAACCTATAGTAGATTCTCAAACACAACGTGCAATCAGATCATGTCACTTGTCTACTTGAAACTCTGCAATGGCTTCCCATTTATTTCAGGGCAAGAGCTAAAGTTTTAACAATGGCCCAGGAGGCTCTGCATGATCTTGTTTCCTGGGCTCTGCTGCTAATCTCTCCCCTCTTCCATTTATTCTACTTTTATTCTCACACTTGTTCCCTCCAGTGCAGCCACACTGGCCTCTCTGCTGTTCTTCACAAATGCCAGGCACGGCCGGGCACAGTGGCCTACGCCTGTAATCCCAGCACTTTGGGAGGCTGAGGCGGGTGGATCATGAGGTCAGGAGTTCAAGACTGGCCTGGCCAAGATGGCGAAACCCCATCTCTACTAAAAATACAAAAAAAATTAGCCAGGCATGGTGGCGGATGCCTGTAATCCCAGCTACTCGGGAGGCTGAGGCAGAGAATTGCTTGAACCTGGGAGGCGGAGGTTGCAGTGAGCCGAGATCGTGCCACTGCACTCTAGCCTAGGCAACAGAGCAAGACTCTGGCTCATGGAGGGAAAGAAAACAGAAATGCCAGGCACATCCTTACCCAGTCTCAGATGCTCTTCCTCTGGAAAACCACTTGGCTAATTCCTTTACCTCCTTCAAGGCTTTGCTCAGATCACATCTTGTCAAAGAGTCTTATCCTGGCCACTTCATTTTATGCTGAATACTGCCCACCTCCCACATACAATTCTGATTCCCCCATCCTACTCTAATTTTACTTTTTTCTCTGTAGCACTTTTCTAATATAACATATAATTGCAAAATAGTATTATGTGTCTTCCCTTGTTAGGCTGTAAGCTTCATGAAGGGAAGTATTTTTGTTTGTTTTGTTGCCTGATGTATCCTAGGTGTGTAGCGCTGGCATACAGGAGATATTCAGTAATATTTACTGAATAGAACTGTAGAAAAACGGACCATCAAGATACTCAACAGATTAATAATAGTGACTGCTAGTGAGAAATTAGTACGGGCATGCAATTAGGGACAGGTTCAAAAGAGACTTTATCTAATGGGTAAAGAAAATGTGGTATATATACACAAAGGAATGCTATTCAGCCTTAAAAAAGAAGGAAATTCTTGTCATTTGCAACAACATGGATGAACCTGTACGACATTAAGCTAAGTGAAAGAAGCCAGGCACAAAAAGACAAACGCTGCATGCTCTTACTTATAAAAAGTGGAGCTCGGCTGGGCGCGGCGGCTCACACCTGTAATCCCAGCACTTTGATAGGCCAAGGCGGGCAGATGACTTGAGTTAAGGAGTTCGAGACCAGCCTGGCCAACATGGTGAAACCCTGTCTCTATTAAAATCACAAAAATTAGCCCGACACAATGGCATGCACCTGCACTTCCAGTTACTGGGGAGGCTGAGGCAGGAGAATCGCTTGAACCCAGGAGGCGGAAGTTGCAGTGAGCTGAGATTGCGCCACTGCACTCCAGCCTGCGGTACAGAGTGAGACTCCATCTCAAAAAAAAAAAAAAGTGGAACTTATAGAAATAGAATAGAGCGCTGGTTACCAGGGCTGAGTGGGGAGGGTTGGGAAATAGGAAGATGTAGTTCAAAGGCTAACAAGTTTCAGTTAGGAGGAATAAGTTTTCAAGATCTATTGCACAGCATAGTGACTATAGTTAACAATAATATATTTCAAAATTGTGAGAATAATCTATTTTAAATGTCCTCACCATAAAAAAGGTAAGTCTGTGAAGTGACGGATATGTTAAGTAGCTTAATTTAATCATCCCACAATGTAAATACGTATGTCAAAACATCACATTGTAACAATTCTCACTTGTTAATTATAATAAAATTTAATAAATAAATTATTTTTACTAAAAGAAACTTTGTCTTTCTCTGCAATGTTTTGTTTCTTTTTAGTTAAAAATGGTAATGTATATTCAGTGTTACCAAATGTTAACACTTGTCAATTCTGGATATCTTGAAGGTAGTGGTTATAGTAGTCTGTGCACTTTTGTACTGCTTAAATTTCTCAACATTTTAAGTACAAGCAAGAAAAGAAAGGCTTTGTGGTTTTTATAGCAAAGAGTCCCTTTGCTCCTCCAAAAAGAATAAAAGTAGTCTTCTTAGAATTCCTGTAGCAATCTCGTTTCTTGACCAAATATAGCAATTTGGCAATTACCTCATCCCCTCCCTTATCACTAGAAAATGGAGCTAGCAGAGTTATGAATACAGAAATATGATCTTCTTCATTAACTTGACCTCTCAACACTGTGCAATGATGGGAAAATCCAAGTTAAACAGAACCGGCGTTCCTAAGACACAATCATTGAAGTTACCATGAGGGCCCACCAGGTGGTGTGTGTGCATGGGAGTCCTTACTACTGAACGATGGTTCCCAAGCATCCCTGAGAAGCACCATCCCAAAATGGCCTTTGTTAGAGAGTTTATAAGCTGTTTCAGTCTATCTGTGACTTAGGTACTCATGAGTGAGTTCAGAGCTCTGAAGAAAGCCCCTTCCACTGTGCCCCCAGTAGAACCGCCCCCCAAAGCAATATCTCTATGTCACAGAGCCCTACAATCTCTTGGCAGAATTAAAATTGTATTTATTTTGGAAAATAAAACTGTGTGTACACTCATTTCCTTCTCAAACATTTCACAGCAAAACAAAAGTTGGAGTGCCAAGAGTTATAAAATTAGAGAGGAAATGAAAATCTGTTATTTTCATAACAAGGTCTTTTAACATAGCCAAAGTATTTTGAGTTCCAAAACAACTCACATCCCCAAATGGTAGTTTTCATAGTGATTTATTGACTTTAAGCATTTGTGATGGGCTGTAACCTAATTTTGAACAGAGCCATTTTTAAGTTATGCTGGAAGCTGCTGGATAATCTTTCCAATATGATGGTTAGATCAACACCTAATATACAGACAAACTGTATGTAATAGCCTCATAATATGCCAGCCAGATACGTAAATTATCCTTATTTTTTTCATTGCAAAGTGAGATAAGCTTGTAGTAAATAAATTCAAGTAATTTGGGGGCAAAGTAAAATAGAATAGCCTTTCTTTACTTTTCACTGACATTTCACTCCTCAAATTAATTAAATAACTTACTTCTTAAATTACTGTGGACAGTGTTGTGCCTATATCTGCAGACCTTTACAAACATGATTTTAATTTTTATTATACTAATTGAGATTTTACCATACACATTGTTCTGAAACATTCTACTCTTTACTTAACAGTTTTTATGATGGACTATTCTGGGTCAATATCAGCATATGTAAATACATACACACACACACATACACACACACGCACACACACACACATACACACACATATATATATACTTTTTCCCATCAATTTCTTTGATGACAATGGTATTTCACAAAATAATAATAGCAATAACAACCACAGCAAACACTTCCATAATTCTTACTATGCATCATGCTCCACGTGGTTTACACATTTTAACTCAACCATGACTCACAACAACCCTATAAGATAGGTACTATTTCTTATCCCCTTTACTGATGAAAAAACTGAGACATGAGAAGAAAAATAACTTCCTCAAGAGCATACAGCTAGTGAGCAGTGAAGCCGTGATTCAGACTCAGGCAGTCTGGTTCCAAAGTCCACAGTCGTAACTGCCACACTAGACTGATTAGCTGCAAACTGCTTAAGAGTCCCCCTGGAAATGGACATCTGGATTGCCTCTTTGTTTACTACTTTAAACAATGCCACAATAAATATCCTAAAAATATATGCATCAGCGTATCTTGAAAGTGCATTTCTACAAGTGGGATTGCTTGTATAGATGTTTAAAGAGTTAGTAGGTATGCCAAATTGATCTCCAGAGAAGCTGTGCCTACATTCTCCCAAATGGGGATGCTTTCCTGCCCTACGCTGACCATAGATGTTACCAATCATTTTTCTTTTTTGATAAGCTGATAGACATAAAACAGAATCGTGATGTTTCTCTAATCTGTATGGCCATAATAATGTGTGAGTTCAGCAACATTTCAAGTATTTATTGTCCACTTGTATTTATTGGTCTCTGGATTCTGAATTTCACCTTCTCACATTTTGGTCCATTATTCTATTGAGTTGTCTTTTCTCATGTATTTGTAAAAGCTTTGTTTTCGATAGGGTCTTGCTCTGTGGCCCAGGCTGGGGTGCAGTGGTGTGGTCATAACTCACTGTAACCTTGAACTCCTAGACTCAAGTTATCCTCCCTCCTCAGCCTCCTGAGTAGCTGGGACTACAGACACAAGCCACTATGCCCAGCTAATTTTTAAAAAATTTTTAGACATGGGGTCTTGCTGTGTTGCCCAGGTGTAGAAGCTCTTTGCACCACACATCTTGCTGTCCAGGGAACATGCACGAACCCCTGCCAGCATCCCCATCCAGCACTTAGAACTATGGCTGCACAATCAGAACAGACTGCTGTGTAGGTCCAGAGAAGAAGAGCTGAAAACAGGACTCATAACGTCACAGTTGCTTCCCCAAAGCAAAATCACCAGCATAGTATACAGATAACAAAGCTTATCTGAGGCTATAGCCCACAATCCGCCCATGTAAAATCATTTCCCTTCATGATAAATACTGTATCGATCCAGCTTGATGCACCAGGAAAAGCAAACCAGATGGGTGCCAAGAAAATTGGGAGGGGCTGCCGGGTGCGGTGGCTCATGCCTGTAATCCCGGCACTCTGGGAGACGGAGGCGGGCGGATCACGAGGTCAGGAGATCGAGACCATCCTGGCTAACACAGTTAAACCCCGTCTCTACTAAAAATACAAAAAAAATTAGCCGGGCGTGGTGCGGGCGCCTGTACTCCCAGCTACTCGGGAGGCTGAGGCAGGAGAATGGCGTGAACCCCGGAGGCGGAGCTTGCAGTGAGCCGAGATCGCACCACTGCACTCCAGCTTGGGCGACAGAGCGACACTCGGTCTCAAAGAAAAAAAAAAAAGAAAGAAAGAAAGAAAGAAAGAAAAAAAAGAAAGAAAGAAAATTGGGAAAGGCTGTAGAATCCTACTGGCCTGGGTTTGGATTGTGGGGCCATCACTTATTTAACCGGGTGGATTTAGGCAAGATAGTTCATTTTTCCCACCTCTAAGCCTTCGTAGAACAAGAATCATAAAACCAACCATGCAATGTTACAAGAATTAAGAAAAATGTAATCAGCTACTAGAGTCTAGCCACATAATAGGTGTTCAATTATTAATACTGAATAATACTTCCTATTATTACTATTAACACTACAAATATCAATACTCGTGGTGATGAAGGAGAGGCAAATGTAATTGATATACTGGCTCTGCCAGCTTCGGTATGGATAAAACTAGATGGCATTCTTCTACTTTTCAAATTAAAACTCATGTCTACCTTCATTTACCCAACGAGTAAAAACTTATCTTCCTTTCCTGCCCCTGTCTTCTTTCTGTGTCCAGGAATCTCAGCTGTGCTCAGAAGCCCAGCTCCGCTTGCTTGTATCCTGCAGCGCTAATGCGGGACTCAGGCGCTCCCCTTTGAGGTTAGTGGGCTCCTCAAACACCAGTCCTTGTCCAAGACAATGTGGCCAGGTCTCTGGCACGAAAAACACTGTAGATCCCCTTCCAGGCCACAGTGGTTCTTTGAGCAGTGAGAGAGTCCAAGCACCAACATGACATAGGACTAAACTTATCAAGGGCTCCCTGGTGGAGCTGGCCTGGGCTGTCTGCCTTTCACCTCCTTAGACTCCTTCCCAGGGGGGCTATGTCAGAGCATCTGCCACCTCCCTGTTCCAGCTGCACCTACCCTTTACACCTCTCGGTTCCTGTCCTAAACCTGCAAATTCCTCCATCTCTGCCCCAGCCCCAAACCTTGTTCTGTTGCAGACTGCAAGAAATAATTTTGGAAAAAAAATCAGTGCTGGTTACTCTAGGATGTCCTTTTCTCCTTCCATTTTACAAGAGACCTTCCTCAGATTTAGGCTACTCCTGAGGAGCCAATCCCATTGCAGCTGCCTATGAGGCAGCAGGAAGTGAAGGTCTTGGAAGCCCATAACTGACTCACTTTGGTGCTTAGGAAGTTAATTCCTGAGCGAAATGGGTTTAAAATATATCATCCACCTTGCTAGACCCTCAAGGTTTAGTTGTTCTTCTATATCTAGTACTGTAAATACTAGATATCCATGTTTTATTTTATTTTCTTAACCTCCAAATACCTTGAGATTTTATGAGAAAAGAGAAAAAAGGACATATAAAAAGAGAAAAGGGACAGAGGAGAATTTAAAGAAGTACCGTAAATACTAGATATCCATACACAATACACAATGACAACACTGGCTGGATTCCTAAAACAGAGTTTTAGATGAACTATGACTATTTTGGTGAGAGTATTTCCTACAACAAAATGTGTTCTGAACTTTGAAGCCAATCAAGTTTGTTACATAATGAGCTGGAGAAGAACCAAGATTATGATTTTTCTTCATGTTCCTACTGTTAGCTATCCCAGTTTATGGAGTATTTGAAAGCAATTTGCTTTAATTAAGTCAGTGAAGTGATAGAAACTTGCTGAAAACATTGACTAAGCTGCTTCCACAGACCATCCTTTTTTAAATTAAGGGACTCTGGGAGACCACCCTGTTCGATTTCAATAACCCACAAGATTATGTATTTCACTTGGTGTTGCAAAAATATCTAAGCACATTGAACTTAAAACTGTGGAAAAAGAAAGCACTGCTGATTTGTTCATGGAAGGGCAGGTGTTTGCATTTAAATTGGACTTGTTCACAGAGCAGAAAATGGAGTCTGCACTCATTTCCCACCACGGAGCTACTTGGGGCTCAGTGGAATCATTGATTTTGAGAAACTGAAGATGCATGGGCTTGATAACCTCACAATTTCTAAAGATATTCTCAGATGGTTGATGAATAAGGAGCACACTTTGTTTGCTTCGATGCCTTTGAACATGTCTGAATGACCAGGCATCTGATTCAGTGTCAAGGTGCGCCGATAGAGCAGAAGGCAAACCCTGCTGATCATTCTTATGAGTTTGCAGATGAAACCTAGAATGATCCTACAATGTCTGTCTCTGCAGCCAAATTCTGGGCAAGGACTGCTTACATATTGCTGTGTAAAAGTATATTCTTGTTCACAAGGCTGTTGGAATTAAAATGCAGTACTGCTTTCAGCTGTGTAAACCTGGAGTCAAAGTATAATGTTCTCTACTTGATATTCTCAATTATGAACTGGTGTAGTCTGTTAAATGCAGCAGTCGCTTTGGCTTGAACGAAATTTATCAGTAATTTTACTTGATCAAATGACTAAAGTTGTAACTATTTTTGACAAAAAATAAAGTTAAATAGACTCTATATTTTAAAATCTAAAATATTTTCTTTTTCTTGGTTAACAGTCTCTACTTTATCAAATCCGTGTGTTCCATCTATGAATTTCAGATTATGGAGCCCATCAAATGAACAATTTACAAGTATCCAAGGTGTGACCGCTTCTTAAATGGTAAAATCATTTGAGTCTTAAAGATTATTTTTAAGAAGAAATTAGGAGTAAAAAGAGAATATTTTATTTTATTTTCTTAATCTCCAAATACCTTGAGATTTCAAGAGAAAAGAGAAAAAAGGACACATAAAAACAGAAAAGAGACAGAAGAAAATATAAAGAAGAATGTTCAAGTATGATCTGAAATGTAAGTCTAAAATAGCATGTTAACATTCAGCAGTACAATGATGCTTAATCAGAGCCCCCAAAGGATAATTCAATTAGCAATACATCACGGTGCTGCTGGAGTTCCCAAACCTAGATTTAAAGAGTAAGACATACTTCTTGTGGATTAAAAATAACCAAAAATGGTAGAGGAATTTAAAAGAAGTAGATACAAACAGAATTGGGAAGACAAAAGAAACTGGAGTCTGGGCTCTGTTTCAATATAAATTTGAAGTATGTCCTTGAGTAAATCAAGAGCACTCCATTTTGGTTCAATTTCCAAATGGAAAAGACACTTACTCCCTTGTACAGGGCCAGCGTGAAGATTAATGAGACAATACACAGTAAGTAGAAAGAATATAAAAGTAGATCGATGTTACACAGGCTAGTTGTAATCTAATGCTATTAGAAAAAAATGGTTTGTATGTCCAGTATTACTAAACATGAGTATAGGTATGCTCTATAACATGGCATGAGGCCTATTGAAAAAGATCAAGGTAAAAATCATATAAAAGTTTTTCTCTCCAAAGGCAAAATAATCTTGCAGAGTGTATACACGAAGGACTGTTACTAAAAGCCATAGATTAGCTCTAGTAATTAGTAGGATACCAGCAAGAATGTCTGTCATCTTCCTGGGAGCATCCAGGGAAGAAAATAGAAGGTTGCTTGTGTGCATTAAAAGAATTTACTGGGCTAATATGAGCTAGCATTGTAGCAAAGTGGGTGCTGAGAAATACCCCCACAAAATAGTAAGAACTTGAAAAAAACAATTATAGACAATAATGAGTACCACTGAGTTTTTTTAAAAATGAGTTTCAACTGTTCAATGGGAACATTCCATTACCCGAGACAATAGTTTTGTGGAGTGCAATTGCCTGTAAATCTGTTGAGTTTCAAATACAAATAAGCCCAGCACCAAATGGACTGTTAACCCACGTGATAATAGCTTTATTATATAGGCATTACAAAATTAATTCCAAGGAAACACTTTTTCCAGAATTAGCATCTCCAAGAAGTTAAGTCTGAGCTGAGAAATCAGTGAGAGACATTAGGCAAAAGTAACTGCGGTGTTTGCCATTACTTGCAATGGCAAAACCGCAATTACTTTTGCAACAACCTAATATAAGCCTCAATCTCTCCTTCAAGTGCCACTGGCCATCCTACCGGGATTCCCACAGACCCATAACGTCAGCATGTGTAACAGAATTCATCATCACCCCTAAAGCTGCTCCTCTTCTGTCTTCTATGTTCAGCTGGTGGTACCAGGACCTAAGACAGAAACTGGGATTACTTCCCCTCACTATCCCATATTCAATCAGCTGCCAAGTCCCTTCAAAATTACGTCCAAAATATTCTTCAATTATGTCCCTTTCTTCTCAATTCCCACTGCCAGGGTTTTAATTGAGCTGCTCATTATCCCTTATTTAAGATATTGCAATAGAGCCTAAACTGGTCTCCCTGTCATTTTCCTACATCCATCTCCATGTAGTCACAAAAGCTGTCTTCCAAATACAGAACTGATTAGGTTATTCCTTTGCTTAAAACCCTCTAGTAAAAGCATGGCCTACATCCTGACCTGGCTCCTCCCTTTCTCTGCAGTATCATCACTTCTGCTACCCCTCATCTTTCATTTATATCCATAAATACTGTTATTCTCAAAATACATCACATAGGCGCCCCTGCATCCATCACACAGGTTCCTAATTGTCTTTCAACACCCACACCTGAAATCACCTTCTCTGCAAACTCTTCTCTGCCTGCTCCGTATTGATTGCACTTTCTCTGTGCTACCCCTGTAGTTGGCTCACAGTTCTGTTGCTGCATTTAACAATGCATTATAAATATGTATTTATATGTATATTGTCCATAATTTATGAGCTTAGAGGGCAGAGCTGTTTCTTAGTTATTCATGCATCTCTCATGTCCAGCATAGTGCCTGGCAAAACCAGTAGTCAAGAAATAAATGCTGCATTGAAAGGCTTGAGCCTCTAAGCAAGCAGAGGCCAGCTATCTATCTCCCCTTGGTGTCAAATAAGAGAGAGACTCATCTTTAAGCCCAAGTAACATAGAGATGCATGTGCGTGTAGGCACACACACGTGCGCACGCACACACACCCACAGAGGGGAAAAGGAAGAGCAAGAAAACAAGGTGAAACCCCGTCTCTACTAAAAATACAAAAAATTAGCTGGGCGCGGTGGCGGGCGCCTGTAGTCCCAGCTACTCGGGAGGCTGAGGCAGGAGAATGGCGTGAACCCGGGAAGCGGAGCTTGCAGTGAGCCGAGATTGCGCCACTGCACTCCAGCCTGGGCGACAGAGCGAGACTCCGTCTCAAAAAAAAAAAAAAAAAAAGAAAACAATAAAAGAAAGGCTCCACCTTGTGGGGAATGAAGTCTCTACCAACAACTTTTCACATAAAACCTGTGACTGAAATTACCTATCCTTCTTGTCTAAGATATCCCGCCCAAAACAGTTCACAGGAGCATCTTTAGCAGAGAAAAAACAGAACAGCGAGGAGACTCTAAACATACTGTCATGTGCCCTGGGCTCAACTGTGCTCCCCCAGACCCCCACCAAACCCCTGTGTTGACATCCCAACCCCAGTATCTCAGAATGCCACTGTGTTTATAGGTGAGGTCTTTAAAGAGATAATTAAGTTATAATGAGGAAATTAGGGTGGGGCCCTAATCCCATATGACTGGTGTCCTTATGAGAAGAGGAAGAGAGTCTAGAAGAGTGTGTGCTCAGAGGCACCCCCATGAGAAGAGGCACGGGGAGGGTGGCCACCTGCCAGCCATGGAGACAAGCCTGGAGCAGACCCTTCCCTCTCAGCCTCACAGGAAATCAACCCTGCTGCCACCTCAGTCTTGGACTCCCAGCCTCCAGAACTGTAGGAAACTAAATTTATCTTGTTTAAGCCACCCAGTTGGTGGTATTTTGCTACGCCCTAGCAAACTAATGCACATAAAACGCCTCCATATGGGCCAGGCAAAGGTGGCTCACGCCTGTAATCCCAGTACTTTGGGAGGCCAAGGCGAGCGGATCACCTGAGGTCAGGAGTTCGAGACCAGCCTGACCAACATGGTGAAACCCCGTCTCTACTAAAAATACAAAAATTAGCCAGACATGGTGGTGCATGCCTGTAATCCCAGCTACTCAGGAGGCTGAAACAGGAGAATCACTTGGACCTGGGAGGCAGAGGCTGCAGTGAGCCGAGATTGCACCATTGCACTCCAGCCTGGGCGATGAGAGTGAAACTCCGTCTCAAAAAAAAAAGAAAAAAGAAAAAAGAAAACCCCCCCAAATGGAGCGTTTAGTAAGTAAAAGAAAACACCTGGGGCTGCCAGGTGGCAAGGAAATCACAAACTTTTTTCTAGGATTATTGAATTCCAGCTTAGAATAAGTAAAAACTGGTATCAGGATTAATTGACCTTAAAGATACCTTCTAGTCCTGATAATGCTATGATCATTACAAGAGATCATTACATCCTCTTAAAAGGATGTTTAATTACAGACAGCACTAAGATCTACATTTAAGAGCTCAAAACACTTCCATAAATGGGCTAGGATTTTAGGTGACACTTCATCTAAAATTCATAGGATGGTATAGATCAAGGCCAGACCAAAACTGGAATTCAGATACTTCTGTTACCCTTTCTGTTCTTCTCCCACCCCAGGTTTATTTTTTTTCATTGATTGATGTGCACACTGAAGGACTTCCTGGGAAAATAATTCACACTTGTCCACTACTGCAGTTCACACATACACAGGGAGGCATGAAGACTTGGCGTGGTGTGTGTGGGAAGAGCCACAGAAGAAATAATATAAGTGACAAATGAACAACTCCTGAGAAAGACATTCTACTAATAGTAAGGGCTGGCCAGACATGGTGGCTCACGCCTATAATCCCAATACTTTGGGAGGCCGAGGTGGGTGGATCACTTGAGGTCAGGAGTTTGAGACCTGCCTGGCCAGCGTGGTGAAACCGCATCTCTTCTAAAAATGCAAAAATTAGCCAGGCGTGGTGGTGTGCCCCTGTAATCCCAGCTACTGGGGAGGCTGAGGCAGGAGAATTGCTTGAACCTGGGAGGTAGAGGTTGCGGTGAGCTGAGATCACGTCATTGCCCTCCAGCCTGGGTGACAAGAGCGAGACTCTAACTCAAAAAAGAAAAAAAAAATAGTAAGGGCCAAAGAGTGAAGGGAAATGCTGTCCTGGCCACTGCATGGTGTTGTTAGCTGAGTTTTAAGAACACGATACTCCTCACTGATCATATTCATGTCACAGAAACAGCAGGATAGGTGCAAGATCAGTAAAGCTGTCTTTCTATATTCTGCACAACTTTTGGGCCTAGCAACATGTTATTGAACCACTCTACAGCAGAGGAATAATTTCCCGATAACTTTGGGGAAGCACATTATGCGCCAATGTTGGTAGTGCACTGAGCTATACCCGCAGTTGAGGCGCAGGGGAGAGAATGGCATCCTGGAGGGGAACAGTAGCAGCTCAAATGCAAGGGGCTTGGCAGCGGAGGCAGAGATCAGGCAGCAGAGTGTTAAGGACAGTCCAGACTGAGCAACAGTGTGAACCCAGCATTAACTGGTGGTGCAGAGGATGGCAGGTGGACAGGTGAGCCAAGGATCAGGGCATCAGGTTCAGTATAAGCAAAGAGTGGTGCTGGAGCAAGCAGTGTCCCAGGTGGAACATTTAAGATTAGCCTGGAGCAAAGAAATGGCAGCGGTCTGAATTCAACCTTGGAACAATCTGTTCCAGGAGCATAAGAGCTGGACCCTGAGTGCAGAGTTCTGTTAAAAGATGTGTTGAATTTTGAAATGTGGTCTGAGCTCCCTCTGTTACATGGGTGGACGGTATCAACCTCTGGATACTAAGCTTTAAATGTAAAGGTGTCCTTATTGTCTCTACAGCCAGTGAAGTACAGGAACACTGACAATGTGAAAGCTCTCCTTCAGAATATGTTCTTTAAAGCACATTTCAAAGCACATACTTATAAAATAGCCCTTGTAGAATGCCATTAAATCTGGGCACACTGCCAAATGGAACATGACAGGAAATAGTGGGTCTGGAGATATTCAAGGCTAGCCGGAGTCTTTCCACTAATCACCATCAATGGGCTCTCGAAAAGGCTCTGACCAACCCCTAAATCCAGGTTCCCAGAGGAAAGCTCTGTCCTAGGAAGGCCTTTGGAAGCTCACTGTGTTCTGCTCTTACTTGGAGAGCAGCATGCAGCACTGGAGCCTAGAAATTCCAAAGACCTCTGGGTGGCTGCCTTGGTTCAGAGAATCCAGAGGAGCAGGTAGAAAAGGCACAGGAATAGGAGAGAGGTGACTGAGACCCTGGTCCTGTCACTGCGAGGGACTAGCTGCTTGGCCTGACTTCCTACCTCTCTGTATTTGTTTCTTCTATCTTATAGCAGAACTGATATACAACTTTCTGACCTCCCAGGAATGTGAAGATCGTAAGTGTGTCTTGAAAAGGTTCAAGCTTACAAACATAAAAGGCATCATCTGTGTAGGTCAATCACTTCGCAAGGAGCACCAAGTCCCATTTGTTCATGGGAAATTTACTGAGTTTCTTTGATATTCCCTGGACTGCTAGGCATCGGGCAGATGTAAAGAGTTGTAATTCATTGTTCTCCTCCTCGAGAAACCCACAAAAATCCTATAATACAGTGAGAGAATTACTATTCCAAAAGTAAGTAAAAAGTATCAGAAACACAAAGAGAGCACATAAGAAGGTTTGCTACAGCAATATTCAAACTCATGAAAACAACCTAATAGTCTGATAATAAAGAATTGAATAGATTACAAAATATTCACATGATAGAATACTAGTTATTAAATGGAAGTTTTTATGAAGTTTTTTGACGATATGAAGACATTTTAATGATATTGTTTAATGGAAATGAAGTATACAAAGTAGGATTTGGTGGAATAAGCTGTGCTAAAATTGATCTCATGAAATTCTGTCTTCTGGCTCTGATGAATTACTGTACCAGATTTGTCCTCCTGTTGTAAACAGTTAGGAATCTGGACAAACTATCTAAAATTTATTTTCAGACAATGGACCATGGGCAGCACAGGAAATGAGGTAAGGAATGCAATAGGCACAAAACTGACTAGGTATAGAGAGGTAAACTTTCCTGATGTGCAGATAACATGATAGACTCTGAAGAAAACTCTAAGGAATCTACTTTAAAAAACAGCTACTATTAAGTAAATTTAGCAAGGTCATGAAATATAAGATCAATATACAAAAATGAATTGTATTTCCATATACAAGCAATGAAAAATTGGCAAATGCAATTAAAAGTAGAACTTACAGGACCGTTGAAACATACATGATTTAGGATAATCTAATAAGACCTATTCTCTATAAACTGAAAAACCACTGCTGAAAGAAATTTTAAGATACCTAAATAAGCAGAGAAATATAGTAGGTCCGTAAAGACATACTATATGGAGAGCAGATATTGTTAAGATTTTAATTCTCCCAATATTGATGTATAGATTTAATGTTATCCTAATAAAAATCCCAAGAGACTTTTGGTAGAAATTAACATGCTGATGCTAAAATATATATAAAATGAAAATGACCTAGAATAGCCAAAATAACTTTGAGGATGAGGACCATAGATAGAAAGCTTACATAATCTGGGCCAGGCACAGTGGTTTACGCCTGTAATCCCAGCACTTTGGGAGGCTGAGGTGGGTGGATCACAAGGTCAGGAGATCGAGACTAACCTGGCCCACATGGTGAAACCCCGTCTCTACTAAAAATACAAAAAAAAAAAAAATTCACCAGGCATGTTGGTGTGCGCCTGTAGTCCCAGCTACTTGGGAGGCTGAGGCATGGGAATCACTTGAACCTGGAAGGCACAGATTGCAGTAAGTCGAGATCGTGCCACTGCACTCCAGCCTGGTAACAGAGCAAGACTCTGTCTCAGAAAAAAAAAAAACAAAAAAAAAGGAAAAAAGAAAGCTTACATAATTTGACTTCAAGACATACTTTCAAACTGCAGTAATTAAGATAATGTGGTACTGGCATAAGGATGGCATATAGATTAACTGGACAGAGTAGTGAATCCAGGAATAGATCAATACAACTATGGCCAATTGACTTTTTATAATAATGCCAAGAAAATCCAATTGGTGTAGGGGTAGCCCTTTCAAAAAATGGTGCTAGAATAAATGGATAGCAACATGAAGAAAAGAAATAAACTTTAAACCCTATCTCACATCACATACAAGAATTAAAATGAATTACAGACTTCAATCGAAGAGCTAAAATTCTGAAACCTCTAGAAGAAAACATTGAAGGAGCAACTTTGGGGTAGGCAAAAGTTTCTTAAAGAGGATATAAACAACAATAACCATTAAAAAAAAGAAATGATAAATCAGATGTCATCAAAATGGAAAACTTGTGCTCTGCAAAAGACACCATTAAAAATAAATACGCAAACTACAGAGCTGGAGAAAATATTTGCAATATATATAGCTGACAAGAGTTTTATATCTAAATGTAGAAAGATCTCTTAATATTAATAATAAGACCAAGTAACCCATTAAAATTCATGCAAAAGATCTGAACAGGCACTTCACAAAAGTAGATATGTGAATGATCAATAACCATATAAAAAGATGCTCAACTTCATTAGTCATTAGGCAAATGCAAATTAAAAACCACAATGAGCTGCAACTACACACATACTAAAATATCCAAAATTAATGAAGGCTCTACATAGCATGTGTTGGCGAGGATGTGCAGAAAATAGAACTCTTCTCCATTAATACTGGGGAGTGTAAAATCGTACAACCAATTTAAAAAATAGTCTGGTAGGGTTTTTTTAATTTTAATAAATAAAAATACACTTAGTACTTTTTTTAGAATGGCTTAGTACCCAGTGATTCTAATCCTAGATTTTTAACCTATGAGAAATTAAAACATATGGCCAAATAAAGACTTCTGGGGGTTGGAGCCAAGATGGCCGAATAGGAACTGCTCCAGTGTACAGCTCCCAGCCTGAGCGATGCAGAAGACGAATGATTTCTGCATTTCCAACTGAGGTACCAGGTTCATCTCACTGGGGATTGTCAGAGAGTGGGTGCAGGACAGTGGGTGCAGCGCACCAAACTTGAGCCAAAGCAGGGCGAGGCATCACCTCACCCGGGAAGTGCAAGGGGTCAGGGAATTCCCTTTCCTAGCCAAGGAAAGGGGTGACAGACCGCACCTGGAAAATCAGGTCACTCCCACCTTAATACTGCACTTTTCCAACGGTCTTAGCAAACGGCACACCAGGAGATTGTATCCCGTGCCTGGCTCAGAGGGTCCTACACCCATGGAGCCTCGCTCATTGCTAGCACAGCAGTCTGAGATCAAACTGCAAGGCAGCAGTGAGGCTGGGGGAGGGGCGCCTGCCATTGCTGAGGCTTGAGTAGGTAAACAAAGCAGCTGGGAAGCTCGAACTGGGTGGAGCCCACCACAGCTCAAGGAGGCCTGCCTGCCTCTGTAGACTGCACCTCTGGGGGCAGGGCATAGCCAAACAAAAGGCAGCAGAAACGTCTGCAGACTTAAATGTCCCTGTTTGACAGCTTTGAAGACAGTAGTGGTTCTCCCAGCACAGAGCTTGAGATCTGAGAACAGACAGACTGCCTCCTCAAGTGGGTCCCTGACCCCTGAGTAGCCTAACTGAGAGGCACCCCCTAGTAGGGGCAGACTGACACCTCACACGGCCAGGTACTCCTCTCAGACAAAACTTCCAGAGGAACGATCAGGCAGCAACATTTGCTGTTCACCAGTATCCACTGTTCTGCAGCCTCCACTGCTGATACTCAGGAAAACAGGGTCTGGAGTGGACCTCCAGCAAACACCAACTGACTTGCAGCTGAGGGTCCTGATTGTTAGAAGGAAAACTAACAAACAGAAAGGACATCCACAACAAAACCCCATCTGTATGTCACCATCATCAAAGACCAAAGGTAGATAAAACCACAAAGATGGGGAAAAACAGAGCAGAAAAACTGAAAATTCTAAAAATCAGAGCGCCTCTCCTCCTCCAAAGGAATGCAACTCCTCACCAGCAACAGAACAAAGCTGGACGGAGAATGACTTTGACAAGTTGAGAGAAGAAGGCTTCAGACAATCAAACTATTCCAACCTAAAGGAGCAAGTTCGAACCCATGGCAAAGAAGTTAAAAACCTTGAAAAAAGATTAGATGAATGGCTAACTACAATAACCAATGCAGAGAAGTCCTTAAAGGACCTGATGGAGCTGAAAACCACGGCACAAGAACTATGTGACGAATGCACAAGCCTCAGTAGCTGATTTGATCAACTGGAAGAAAGGGTATCAGTGATGGAAGATCAAATGAATGAAATGAAGTGAGAAGAGAAGTTTAGAGAAAAAAGAATAAAAAGAAACAAACAAAGCCTCCAAGAAATATGGGACTATGTGAAAAGACCAAATCTATGTCTGATTGGTGTACCTGAAAGTAATGGGGAGAATGGAACCAAGTTGGAAAACACTCTACAGGATATTATCCAGGAGAACTTCCCCAACCTAGCAAGGCAGGCCAACATTCAAATTCAGGAAATACAGAGAATGCCACAAAGATACTCCTTGAGAAGAGCAACTCCAAGACACATAATTGTCAGATTCACCAAAGTTGAAATGAAGGAAAAAATGTTAAGGGCAGCCAGAGAGAAAGGTCGTGTTACCCACAAAGGGAAGCCCATCACACTAATAGCTGATCTCTCGGCAGAAACTCTACAAGCCAGAAGAGAGTGGGGGCCAATATTCAACATTCTTACAGAAAATAATTTTCAACCCAGAATTTCATATCCAGCCAAACTAAGCTTCATAAGTGAAGGAGAAATAAAATACTTTACAGACAAGCAAATGCTGAGAAATTTTGTCACCACCAGGCCTGCCCTACAAGAGCTCCTGAAGGAAGCACTAAACATGGAAAGGAACAGCCGGTACCAGCCACTGCAAAAACATGCCAAATTGTAAAGACCATCAAGGCTAGGAAGAAACTGCATCAACTAACGAGCAAAACAACCAGCTAACATCCTAATGATAGGATCAAATTCACACATAACAATATTAACCTTAAATGTAAATGGGCTAAATGCTCCAATTAAAAGACACAGACTGGCAAATTGGATAAAGAGTCAAGACCCATCAGTGTGCTGTATTCAGGAAACCCATCTCACATGCAGAGACACACATAGGCTCAAAATAAAGGGATGGAGGAAGATCTACGAAGCAAATGGAAAACAAAAAAAGGCAGGGGTTTCATTCCAAGTCTCTGATAAAACAGACTTTAAATCAGCAAAGATCAAAAGAGACAAAGAAGGCCATTACATAGTGGTAAAGGGATCAATTCAACAAGAAGAGCTAACTATCCTAAATATATATGCACCCAATACAGGAGCACCCACATTCATAAAGCAAGTCCTTAGAGACCTACAAAGAGACTTAGACTCCCACACAGTAATAATGGGAGACTTTAACACCCCACTGTCAACATTAGACAGATCAACGAGACTGAAAGTTAACAAGAATATCCAGGAATTGAACTCAGCTCTGCACCAAGCAGACCTAATAGACATCTACAGAACTCTCCACCCCAAATCAAGAGAATATACATTCTTTTCAGCACCACACCACACCTATTCCAAAATTGACCACATAGGTGGAAGTAAAGCACTCCTTAGCAAATGTAAAAGAACAGAAATTACAACAAACTGTCTCTCAGACCACAGTGCAATCAAACTAGAACTCAGGATTAAGAAACTCACTCAAAACCACTCAACTACATGGAAACTGGACAACCTGCTCCTGAATGAATACTGGGTACATAACGAAATGAAGGCAGAAATAAAGATGTTCTTTGAAACCAATGAGAACAAAGACACAACATACCAGAATCTCTGGGACACATTCAAAGCCATGTGTAGAGGGAAATTTATAGCACTAAATGCCCTCAAGAGAAAGCAGGAAAGATCCAAAATTGACACCCTAACATCACAATTAAAAGAACTACAGAAGCAAGAGCAAACACATTCAAAAGCTAGCAGAAGGCAAGAAATAACTAAGATCAGAGCAGAACTAAAGAAGATAGAGACACAAAAAACCCTTCAAAAAATCAATGAATCCAGGAGCTGGGTTTTTGAAAGATCAACAAAATTGATAGACCACTAGCAAGACTAATAAAGAAGAAAAGACAGAAGAATCAAATAGATGCAATAAAAAATGATAAAGGGGATATCACCACCAATCCCACAGAAATACAAACTACCATCAGAGAATACTATAAACACCTCTATGCAAATAAACTAGAAAATCTAGAAGAAATGGATAAATTCCTCGACACGTACACCCTCCCAAGACTAAACCAGGAAGAAGTTGAATCCCTGAATAGACCAATAACAGGCTCTGAAATTGAGGCAATAATTAATAGCCTACCAACCAAAAAAAGTCCAGGACCAGACAGATTCACAGCTGAATTCTACCAGAGGTACAAGGAGGAGCTGGTACCATTCCTTCTAAAACTATTCCAATCAATAGAAAAAGAGGAAATCCTCCCTAACTCATTTTATGAGGCTAGCATCATCCTGATACCAAAGCCTGGCAGAGACACAGCAAAAAAAGAGAATTTTAGACCAATATCCCTGATGAACATCGATGCAAAAATCCTCAATAAAATACTGGCAAACCGAATCCAACAGCACACCAAAAAGCTTATCCACCATGATCAAGTGGGCTTCATCCCTGGGATGCAAGGCTGGTTTAACATGCACAAATCAGTAAATGTAATCCAGCATATAAACAGAACCAAAGACAAAAACCACATGATTATCTCAATAGATGCAGAAAAGGCCTTTGACAAAATTCAACAGCCCTTCATGCTAAAAACTCTCAATAAATTAGGTATTGATGGGATGTATCTCAAAATAATAAGAGCTATTTATGACAAACCCACAGCCAATATCATACTGAATGGGCAAAAACTGGAAGCATTCCCTTTGAAAACTGGCACAAGACAGGGATGCCCTCTCTCACCACTCCTATTCAACATAGTGTTGGAAGTTCTGGCCAGGAAATAAGGCAGGAGAAAGAAATAAAGGGTATTCAATTAGGAAAAAAGGAAGTCAAATTGTCCCTGTTTGCAGATGACATGATTGCCGATGACTTCTAGAAAACCCCATCGTCTCAGCCCAAAATCTCCTTAAGCTGATAAGCAACTTCAGCAAAATCTCAGGATACAAAATCAATGTGCAAAAATCACAAGCATTCTTACACACCAATAACAGACAAACAGAGACCCAAATCATGAGTGAACTCTCATCCACAATTTCTTCAAAGAGAATAACATACCTAGGAATCCAATTTACAAGGGATGTGAAGGACCTCTTCAAGGAGAACTACAAACCACTGAACAATGAAATAAAAGAGGATACAAACAAATGGAAGAACATTCCATGCTCATGGGCAAGAAGAATCAATATCGTGAAAATGGCCATACTGCCCAAGGTAATTTATAGATTCAATGCCATCCCCATCAAGCTACCAATGACTTTCTGCACAGAATTGGAAAAAATTACTTTAAAGTTCATATGGAACCAAAAAAGAGCTCGCATTGCCAAGTCAATCCTAAGCCAAAAGAACAAAGCTGGAGGCATCATGCTACCTGACTTCAAACTATACTACAAGGCTACAGTAAGCAAAACAGCATGGTCCTGGTACCAAAACAGAGATATAGACCAATAGAACAGAACAGAGACCTCAGAAATAATGACACATATCTACAACTATCTGATCTTTGACAAACCTGACAAAAACAAGAAATGGGGAAAGGATTCCCTATTTAATAAATGGTGCTGGGAAAACTGGCTAGCCATATGTAGAAAGCTGAAACTGGATCCCTTCCTTACACCTTATACAAAAATTAATTCAAGATGGATTAAAGACTTAAATGTTAGACCTAAAACCATAAAAACCCTAGAAGAAAACCTAGGCAATACCATTCAGGACATAGGCATGGGCAAGGACTTCATGTCGAAAACACCAAAAGCAATGGCAACAAAAGACAAAATTGACAAATGGGATCTAATTAAACTAAAGAGCTTCTGCACAGCAAAAGAAACTACCATCAGAGTGAACAGGAAACCTACAGAATGGGAGAAAATGTTTGCAATCTACTCATCTGACAAAGGGCTAATATCCAGAATCTACAAGAACTCAAACAAATTTACAAGAAAAAAACAACCCCATCAAAAAGTGGGCGAAGGATATGAACAGACACTTCTCAAAAGAAGACATTTATGCAGCCAAAAGACACATGAAAAAATGCTCATCATCACTGGCCATCAGAGAAATGCAAATCAAAACCACAATGAGATACCATCTCACACCAGTTAGAATGGTGATAAATAAAAACTCAGGAAACAACAGGTGCTGGAGAGGATGTGGAGAAATAGGAACACTTTTACACTGTTGCTGAGACTGTAAACTAGTTCAACCATTGTGGAAGTCAGTGTGGCGATTCCTCAGGGATCTAGAACTAGAAATACCATTTGACCCAGCCATCCCATTACTGGGTATATACCCAAAGGATTACAAATCATGCTGCTATAAAGACACATGCACACGTATGTTTATTGTGGCACTATTCACAATAGCAAAGACTTGGAACCAACCCAAATGTCCAACAATGATAGACTGGATTAAGAAAATGTGGCACATATACACCATGGAATACTATGCAGCCATAAAAAAGGATGAGTTCATGTCCTTTGTAGGGACATGGATGAAGCTGGAAACCATCATTCTCAGCAAACTATCACAAGGACAGAAAACCAAACACTGCATGTTCTCACTCATAGGTGGGAATTGAACAATAAGAACACATGGACACCGGAAGGGGAACATCACACCCCGGGGTCTGTTGTGGGGTGGCAGCAGGGGGGAGGGATAGCATTAGGAGATATACTTAATGTTAAATGACGAGTTAATGGGTGCAGCACACCAACATGGCACATGTATACATATGTAACAAACCTGCACGTTGTGCACATGTACCCTAAAACTTAAAGTATATATATAAAAAAAAGTGACCAAAGAAAAAAAAGAAAATGTGGCACATGAATACCAGAATATACTATTTGGTAGTACTTCTCAGCAGTAAAAAGTAATAGACTCCACATGCAAATAAAACTACCAAAAAACAAATATAAAGGAGGAATTTCAACATAGATCTTACACCTTTCACAAAAGTTAACTCAAAGTGGATCATAGATATAGAAACAAAACACAGAACTATAAAACTCCTAGAAAATAATACAGGAGCAAATCTAGGTGACCTTGGGTTTGGTGATGACTTTTTAGATACAATATCAAAGGCACAATCCACAAAAGAAGTAATTGATAACTTAGACTTTACTAAAGTTAAACATCTCTGTTTTGTTAAAGATACTATCAAGAGAATGAAAAGACAAGCCACAAACTGGGAAAATAATCTTTGCAAAATACACAACTGATGGACTGGTATCTAAAATACACTAAGAACTCCTAAAACTCAATGATAACAACCAACCAAATTTTAAAATGAGCAAAAGATCTGAACAGATACCTCACTAAAGAAGGTATACAGATGGCATAAAAGCACATTAGAAGATTTTCAACATTGTATTTCTTTAGAGAATTAATTTATAATTCTCTATGTATTTATGTATATTGTATGTATATCATTTTGTAGGTTGTTTTTATGTGTATAATTTATATGTATATATTGTATGTACATGTATGTATATCATTTTTGTATATTCATCTTATATTTCATGACCTTGCTAAATTTACTTAATAGTAGCTGTTTTTTAAAACATGTATGTATGTAGGTGTGCAGTGAGATACCACTACATACCTATTAGAAAGGCGGAGATCCAAAACACTGACAATATCAATGCTCACAAAGATGTGGAGCAACAGGAACTCTCATTAATTGCTAGTGGGAATGCAAAATGGTACAGCCACTTTGAAAAACAGTTTGGCAGTTTCTTATGAAACTGAACATTCTATTAACATATCATCTAGCAATTGCACCCCTAGGTATTTACCCAAATGAGCTGAAAACTTATATCCACACAAAAATGTGCATACTGATGTTAACAGCAGCTTTATTTATAATTGCCCAAACTTGGAAGCAATCAAGATGTCCTTCAAGGGATTAATGGATAAATAAACTGGTATAGGTATACAATAGAATATTATTCAGCACTAAAAGGAAATAAGCTATCATGCTTATGGAGACATGAGGTATCATGACATGGAGACACCTTAAATGCATATTGCTAAGTGAAAGAATCCAATCTGAAAAGGGTAGCCTTTTAAATACTAAGTGATTCCAATGACATTCTGGAAAAGGCAAAACTATGGATACAGTAAAAATACTGATCATTAGTGGCCAAGGGCTCAGGGGAGGAAGGGATGAACAGGTGAAACTATTGTGATGGCAGTGAAACTATTGTGTAGGATATTATGACGGTGGATATATGCCATTACATATTTGCCAAAACCCATGAAATGTACAACACAATCAGCGAACCTTAATGTAAACTATGGACTTTAGTTAACCATACTGTATCAATATTGGCTCTTCAATTACAACATTAGTGTAACACACTAATGCAAGATATTAATGATAAGGGAAGCTGTCAGGGAAGGGATGAGGGAGTATTTGGGAACTTTCTGTACTTTCTGTTCAATTTTTCTGTAAACATAAAACTCGTCTAAAAGTAAAGACTCTTTTTTAAAATTATAGTACTGATGATTAAAACTTGAAAATGAATTCTAGTAATAGTAGCAACAAGAATGTGAAATCAAGCAAATATTTGAGGAAGTAAATCTCTGTAAGAAACCAAAGGAATGAACTATTGACATCTGCACCAATATGGATCTATTTCAAAAATATGATAATGAGTGAAAGAAGCCAGACACAAATGAGTACATGCTCTGTGATCCTATTTATTCAAAGCCCTAGTATAGGCAAAACTCATCTCCAGTGACAGAAACCAGATCAGTGGCAGAGAGCTGGGAAAGGGTTTTTTTCAGAGGAGCATGAGTGAGTCCATCATCCGTCCCTTTTTGGGGTGATGGAGGCATTATATATCTTGATTGAGATGTTGGTAATATGAATTATGACATTTTTCAAAATTCATCTAACTGTGCATTTTATTGAATGTAAGTCACACCTCGATACATTTGATTAAAAAAAAAAACAGAGAAAAAACAGAGATGCTGCAACCAGAGAGAGAGAGAAAAAGGGAAGGAGAGACAGAGGAAGGACAGGAAGGAGGGAGGAAGGGAGAGAGAAGAGGAAGAGGCAGCGAAAGAGGATGAGCTATATTGTAATAAAACATTAGCAAAAATAATTACTTCAGGAAATGGATTTGCAGGTGATTTTTATTTTCTTCTGAAGACTTTTCTACATTTCCATTTTAACACTGAATGTGTATTCCTTTTGTAAGAAAAATGTTACATTAAAAAACAATAAGCATACCATTATAAAAAGAAAGGAAGGGAAAGGGAGGGACATGGGTGAGGAATCCTCGTTCATTGTGGCAGTTTAGCCAGAAAGTATTCAGGGCAGTTGGTATTTGTGTTGGCTCTTACAGAATCAACAGAATTTCAAAGGATTTCACCAAGCCTCGACAAAAGGAGAGATCATTTCCCGCAGAAGGAACAACTGCAGAAGAGCATGTGGAGGATGCACTGGTAATACATAGAAATGAGCTTTCTTGAGATAGGAGATTGAAATTGTAAGATTGAAAGGATGAAGCTTCTTTGTCACCAGATTCTTGACTGAAGCAGAGAGAAAGGTTCCATTCACATCAGGCATTAGAGGAGCCATTCGAACTTTTAAGAGATCCACTAAAATGGGAATGGCAGTCCCGTCTGTGCAAGAGCACCATCTGAAGCTTCCTCTCCACACAGGAACTGTGATATCCATGAGTTCTGATGCCTCAATGCCCATCATCAAAGAATGATGCTAATAACCCTTAGTGAGAACCATGGCTCCAGAAGCAGTCTCTGTTAGGTTTGGGTCTTACTGGTGATTTTCCACCATCTGTTACCAGAAGTTCGTTTCTTACCACACGGCTTTTATGTAGTCATTTGTAATAAACCCAGAAATTCAAAAATCAGCAAGCTGTTTCATGGCTCTTTGGAGACCACTGTTTTGCAAAAGTGTTCTAAAATAAACCAAATACCATTTTTTAATTGTATTGTAATTATGTGTGCACATACAAATTTTCTTTCAGTCTTTCTCTTAAATATAAACTTTCAAAACTATACCTCGAACACAGGATTACTAATTTTTGGCCCTCTTCGGTTTTGTTCAGTTACACATTTTCTTAATAACATATATTTTTAATTCTCTTCACTGAATGTCTAGGTTCCTCATTTGCTGCATCAAAACGTTCATTTATTATATAAACTTGATTTCTAAAACACTGAATATTGGGGCTACATGGCAATGCCTCGGTTCTCAGCAACCTTTGTGTAGAACCCACATCTGCATTACAGAATTCCTCAATGTTCATCTCTTTTTTAATCTTGAGGATTTCAATATCTCTTTAATACTGTGTAGAGAAAACCTACCGCTACGTCATACCCTAATGCTTCTCAGACTGTGATGCTCCCTGAAGCCTTGGCAACAGTAGACCCTGGGGTTCCGAAAATTTGGAGGAGCGCCTTAGGTTTTGCATTCCTAATAAAATCCGTGGTGATGCTCCTTCCTGCTTCCTCTTTGTAAAGCACATTTTGAATAACAAGGCTTAGCAGGAGCTTCTTGCACACCAGGCTTTGATGTTTCCCCCCACATATACCTTTGGGACATGACAGTCTCCTCCTTTCAGACACATTTTATTCCCTTGATCTTCACTAAGTTATTCTTCAGGCTCAACTGATCTAAATTATATTTCTAATTCCCACTGCTAATCTTGTATTCTTAGAATTTCTTGGCATCTTCTCCAGCTTTAATATTCGTTCATTTTCATATTCTGAGTTCAGTATACTTACCTACAGCAACTTCTTTCTCTGTCTTAGACCTTTCGAGTCCACATTCACTAATCTCTTTCAAGTTGAGTATTTTCCTGAGTTGTTGATCATAATTCTAGAAGAGAACATTGAAAAAACTTCCTCTTTTCCATATTACTTATATATAGATAGACATTTAGATACAGAGATATGTATAATAGATACATGAAGAAACGTGTGCATGTGCGCACACACACACATAAACACACAATTACATAGATGCCTTAGAAAACACCACTGTCAACCCTTTACAAGGCAAACACAGTGGATATAGTCCAGCTACACTGAACTCAAAATTCAATTCCATAAGACAGTAGAAAAACAAAAAATAGTAAACACGTATATTATATCTAAATACTTTAAATATTTAAATCATATCATGAATTGGGTTCTGCTCCACAAAGAAAATTTTCCAGATATCCCATTGTTTTCTTGTGCTCTCAACCTTCTCTAGTCTCATTTGTCAGTTTTATGTTGCCTCATTCTTTCTCCTGAAACTCAGTCTTCAGATTTTCTATGTCCTCATTCTGTGGCACTGTGTTCTCCATTTTGATAATTTACTTCAGGCCATCCTTAGATGCTCTAATACTTCCCTTGATATTAATAGGATTTTGTCTCCATGAAACTGTTGGAGTAACTTTCCACACATATTCTTAACATTTGGCTCATTTATCCCTTCCTTCTTCACCTCCATTCTTATAATGCTGCAATTATCAAAATTTTATAGACCTTGGAGCTCAAGAATGCTAGACATTTATCACAGGCTTGAAATTCACAATCCATCTCTTTGGCTAGTCACAATCTTTTTTATCTGTATGAATGACATATCAAGTGCAACACATCTATTTATTTCTTATTTTCCTCATAGTCTACTAATTTTTAGTATAGCAAACAGTCTCTTATGAGGGTGTCTACTGTCAATGAACACAGCCAAGAGTTCTATGAATGCTCCTATGCTCCTCTGCTGTTCACCTCTCCTCCCCAGCCACCAGTGTGAAAGAACAGATAAAAATAGTGTACACGGTGGCCAGGCACGTGGCTCACACCTGTAATCCCAGCACCTTGGGAGGTCGAGGCACGTGGATCACCTGAGGTCAGGAGTTCGAGACCTGCCTGGCCAACATAGTGAAACCCTGTCTCTACTAAAAAAAAAACAAATACTAAAAATTAGCTGGGCATGGTGGTGGGTGCCTGTAATCCCAGCTACTCAGGAGATTGAGGCAGGACAATCGCTTGAGCCCGGGAGGCAGAGGTTTCAGTAAGCCGAGATCACACCATTGCACTCCAGTATGGATAACAAGAGCAAAACTCCGTCTCAAAAAAAAAAAAAAGAAAAGAGATAGAATACAACATCATATACTGTTACTATGGTATTGCAAACTATAACAATGCCATGTATCTGAAAAATTTGCAAAGCAACCTACATGGTTTACTATGTGTCTTAGTCCAGGCTGCGATAACAGACTACCCTAGACTAAGTGGCTTAAGCAAAATATATTTATGTCTCACAGTTCTGGAGGCTGGGAAGTCCAAGAACAAGGCACCAATAGATCCAGTGCCTGAGGAAGACACACATCCTGGTTTGCAGACATCTGTTGTCTCCGTGTATTCTCATGCAGCTGAGAGAGAAAATCACCCCTCTTATGTTTCTTCTTATAAGTGCATTAATCCTATTCATGAGAGTGCCACCCTCATGACCTAATCACCTCCCAAAGGCTCTACTTCCTAAAACCATCACATGGGAGGTAGGATTTCAATATATGAATTTGGGAGGGGGAACCACAAACATTCAGTCCATAACACTATGTTTTGAATACACTGCAAAAGAAAAAAGCAAGAAACCAACCTGACCTATATCCATTTCTGCTAAGGCTCACTAGAAAAGAAATATTTTAATTCTTACTCTAATAGTTTAGGATATCTCACAAAACCATAAAAGTTGGCAATTTTCATATATTCTATTCAGAATGTCTTACTTGCCAATTACCCTTCCTGTCATACACATAGGGACCTTGGTCACACACCACAGTATTCCCAAAATGAGAGGAAAGGGCAACCTGTGGACTTGACTATTAAAAAGAAAAAACTGGGAAACCCCACAAGATGAAGGGGTTGGCCCACAAGCTGGGAGGCCACGCAGCGAATGTCTGAAGCCTTCATGCTGAAGCCTCGACATGCAGGGGTCAGAACAGGAGGAGAGAGGCGAGCACCGGGTTATGCTTCTGGACAGCGTCCATCCAAAGGGTCAGAGGGAAATTTTCATGTTGCAGAAGAGGAGGGCCAGAACAAATGAGACACCTTTGGCAGGGAGGACTGGTAGAAGCCAGGGACAAGCAGTCAGTTTCGCCAGCCCCCTGCCCTCGCCGCCACCTCCAAAGCTGGAGGCTGCCACATGGCCACCGAGGATAGCTGGAGAGAGGACGGGCTTGTCTAGAAAGCAGCCCCAGGGAGCTGCCAGGATGGGCCCTGTGGGACTCAGAACTCACTACTCTCACCCACACACATGCCCTCTGGGGCCTCCAGCAGAGGATAGTTACAGACCATCCATGTTCAGCATCCCCTGGTGCCGGGAAGGCTCCATGGGGTCAGTCCCACAAGCAGTGCTCCAGCAGAGAGGAACCCATAACATGAAGGACTGGAAATAATATGCACAACCGCTTTCTTTTTAGTATTCCTGACTGCAAAAATCCCTTCTCATAGCTAAGCTCTGTCGAAAAGGAATTAAGCAATGAGTTCTAACCTAAAATATCGCTCTTGAGAGTGAGCTCAGGTAGCTCAGAAAACTTCCTTTTTATCTTTCACCATCTCTAATAATTGCATTTATTTGCCTTTGCATTGGTATGCTTCATGTTTCCCTTCCCTCCACTCCCCTCCCCTGCCCTCCCTTCCCCTCTCCTCCCCTCTCCTCCCCTCTCCTCCCCTCTCCTCCCCTCTCCTCTCTCGATTCTAAGTTTTGGTGTCCTTCCTGACTTTTCTTCCTTCCTAATTCTAACTCGGGCCAAATGGCACTCACATCCCCTTTTCCCAGGCTATGCAAGATGCTGTCCTACCGCAGGCCCTATAGAACGCCTGTTCTGTACACCAGGCACACTTAGGCATGTGGCAGCCCCCATTTAAATGCTCCACAGAGCTACGTGAACTGCCTGCCACATGCAGGTCTGCAGCAGCCTCCCTCTGCTTTTGGATAAAGGCTTTAAGCTGATGGTTTATCCCAGTTTCTGCAGACATGGTTTTCCCATCACTTCTGCCATCCCATCCCCTCTTCCTGCTCTAAGTCTGTCCCTACGGCCTGGATCACTGACTCTCACTGTGTACCTCCTGGAGCACACATCTCCCCGCCTCTAGCCAACATATCTACCTCTGCACCAGGCTTTACAGAGCAGAACCGGCTGGTGTTTGCGGTTGCTTGCTGGATACTACCTCAAACCCCAGCCAAGGTTTATTTTATGTTCCAAAATGACCACAAACTGTCCCAAACTCACATCTGACTCTTTCATCCAGAGAGTCTCAATAACTGAAAAAGAACTTCACCCTATTATCACCAATCCTTTCTTTATGAGGGCTCTTCCATAATAATCTTGATATAACTCATGGTCTATATTTTTCATTCTGCAAAACTTTAGTGGGCTATTTGAAAATTGGCTGACACAACCCCCAATTTTTTTTTCTTTTCTGTTTTTTTTTTTTTGCTGTTTTGTCCTGTGTCAGTTTTCTGTCCCTTACTAATGTCCTGCAGTTGGTCCCTAAGTCCTCCCTTGAAAGTGGGAGCCTGTATGGTTATCTAAGTGACCACATTCCTGAGAAGCAGCAGGAAATAGTGCTATTACTCTATCTTAGGTATAAAATGACTATTCTCACAAGCACACCACTTAACCAAGTCAAGCAGACAGTTCTGCCTCAACTGAAACCCATACTTAGCAGAAGATGACATAAACTAGATTTTGCTTCTTGCCTTCAGAAGCACAAACCAAATGCCTTCATTGTCTAATTGACAAAGTCCTCTCCAATCTCCCCCAACCAGTGCCCAGCTGGGAACCATGTGGATGCTCAAAAAATGCTTGTTCACCAGTTTCCAGCACCCAAGGGCCCCATGGGAAGGACTTAGCTAGACGGACACCACTTCTTCCAGCAGGAGGTCCATTGATTTTTGTTTGTTTGTTTGTTTTCCAAACAGAGAATAAGAAAAGTTTTAGAAGAATTGGATTCCAAACAAGTTCATGAATGAAAAAGCAGTGAAGACACGAGCTGTAAGCAGTATCCCAGGGAGAAACACAAGCAAAGACGTAGCAACCCTTCTAAAATTAGCAAGGAAATAATATGTTCAATGTTACTGAGATGTTATTTCTATTTTAGAACGTCTTTACCATAATTTTCTTACAGACATATTAGTGTTCAAGGAAAATTGGTGAACAAATAAGTGGGTGAAGAATAAAAATGGAAAAAAATAGAATGTTAACAAGGAGAGAAGAGATCTAGGGAACAGAATGTGATTAGTTTGATTTCTAATCTCTAACAATCACTGGTTAAAAATCAATACCACCTCATCTAGAGTTAGGCTGCTTGTGGCACAGAGAACACTGATTTAAAGTAACAATGTTTGCATTCTTCATTCAAATATTAGAGACTACCATCATCTATCATCAGACCCCCTAGGGAAACATCATATGTTATTATAAAAAGCAGATGAAATAATAACAAGAGGTCCTAACCTTCCACATGTTGTCGTGTTTCATGTTTAATTATATAACCATAACACCCCCATTACTTTTGGCATCAAATTGGTGTAATGTAAATAAGAAATTATTACCAGAACTTAAATTCAAATGTTCCCTTTTGCTTTAGCAATTATCATTGGCAAGGAAAGTGTATTTGTTCTTTAGTGCCTCTGTTGTACAACCAGGGACATTCCTAGACCAAAATAATATCTGAGAACACTGGATTACGTTCCAACCAGAAAATGTTTGCAATGGGGGAAAAAAATCAGAGAACTAAAATAAGCTTAATTCTCTTTTAAACTGTGTAAGGGAGATAAAGCCAAGAAGAAAGGGAAAAAAAACCTGTCTTGCTTGAATTTTTGCTCTCCTAAGATGGAAGGCAACTTTGAAGAAAATAATACTCCACACAATTACTCTTGAAAAAGTCAGTTTCAACTTCAGTAGGCACAGATTGACATCCCTTTCAATAATTTTATAAAATGGAGGTTTTTGCTATTTAATGTCATATAAGGTAATGATTTAATAGCTTCTACCACAGCCTTATCAAACATCACTTGATTATGTTCCCACTGGCAGTTTTTTAAAAAGCATTTCTGGATAGATTCACTTTCTTTGCACTTCATTAGACTTTGCGAGATTGTTTCTATCAGAGGACTAAGTGAAACCACAGTTTAAAAGTTACCAATATTGTCATTTATAATTCTCTTTCATTTTTTTTCATATACACAACACACACATCAGAATATGTATACAATTGGTGTCTTTAGGGATATCTAAAGAAGCTCAGAACTCTAGAACAGTCCTTAAAGGATTGTGGCATAGATTTCTAAGTGTCCCCTAATATCTGCCCTCACAAAACACCCCTGAATGTTAGCTCATCCCTTGGCTTTCCAGAAGCAGGATTATATGTGTCAGCCTCCCTTGCAGCTAGCTGCAGTATGTGACTAAGTTTTAGCCAGCAGGATGGACAGGAATGTGATAGTGCAACTTCTAGGATGTGTTCTAAAGGGGAGGGCAGATGTTCCTTCTTGCCCTTCCTCCATCCTCTGGCTGAGAAAGTGGGCTGGACTCTGTGGAAGAGAAACACACACTCCAGAAGCCCAAGCAGACAGTTGGAAGGGGTCCCAGGAGACCGGAGACCTCATACAAATCCAGGAGCTGCCTACGTCTTAACTTTCATGTAAGGGAGATACGAAGTTCTATCTTCATAAGCCACTGCTTTGGGAGCTCTGTTACATGCAGCCAAAACTACATCTACTGCATAAAGATGTCACAGATTAGGAGCCTGAGCTGGGACTAAAACCCAGACCTACTAATACCACAACATTCAGAGTTCTTTCAATGACACCAGATAACCTTACCAAATGTTGTTGCCATATTTTTAAAAACTATTAATGATGTCTTATTATTTTACTATAGTCCAATCAGACATCATTCTTTCTTACTTATATTTATGTTAATAAAGGAAAAAATGACCTCTCAGATGCAATGCACCTGCCCAAAAAGATCTTTCTCTTCCTCTAAATTTTCTATATGTATGGGCCACATCCTTTGTGTGTGTGTATGGAGGCAGGTGGGGACAGAAAGACTCCAGAGGCAATAAAATGTGGACTGAGCCATCCATTGGAACAGGCCTGGGTTTGAATACCAGGTCTCCACATATGGCTGTTTAACTTCGCTAAACCTCTGTTTTCTAAGCATGAAAAAGAGAGCTTCATCCTTCCCTCACACTGTTGCTGCAGAAATTAAATGAGATAACATATTTGAAGAACCTAGTGTTATACCTGGAACATAAAAACTGCTCGACAAATACAGCTCTGCTTTCTATCGGGTCTTTATGTGTCTCTTCATTCAAGAATCATTTATAATGTCCTCACATATTATGAGTCAGGCACTATGCCAAGCACTGCGGAAGGAAGGAAGTAAGTCAACAGGGTGGCTGCCCTCATGGGGCTTTGCCATAGATGGCAAACGAATAAAGCAGGAGCAGAGGGAAGGTAGTTTGAAAGAATCAGGTTTTCTTTTTATTTCTTCAATTTATTTTATTTATTTAATTTTTTTTGAGATGGAGTCTCGCTCTGTCACCCAGGCTGGAGTGCAATGATGCGATCTCAGCTCACTGCAACCTCCACCTCCCGGGTTTAAGCAATTGTCCTGCCTCAGCCTTCTGAGTAGCTGGGATTACAGGTGTGTGCCACCATGCCAGGCTAATTTTTATATTTTTAGTAGAGACAGGGTTTCACCATGTTGATCAGGCTAGCCTCGAACTCCTGACCTCGTGATCCGCCCACCTTGGCCTCCCGAAGTGCTGGGATTACAGGCGTGAGCCACCGCACCTGGCCTCTTCAATTTATTTTTATGAGACCTTGCATGCTGATTGTAGAACTTTTTAGAAAATATAGATAAGCAAAAGTAGAAAATAAAAATTATTCCTCATCCCATTACTCAGCACCAACCAGTATTAATATTTTGGAGTATCTCCTTCTTCTCATTCTCTCCCTGTGAGATGTAGTCCTCTATTATAAACATACAGGTTATAGAAAATGTACAAAATACATTAAACATCTTTTTTTAAACTCCTTTTCTTAATTGAAATTTATGAGAAAAACATTGTTATGTTGTTACTATTTCAACTGCTATGTTTATTCCCTTGCCTGGATGTGCCAGAATTTATTCAACAGTCCCTATGTTTGAAAATTTATGTTTTCTATTAAAACTAACACTGCTGTAATGTCACCCTCTTACAGAGGCTTTCCCTAATGTTCCTAACTAAAATGGCTCCCACTCCCCACAATTGTTCACTGCTTCATTTTTCTTCGTTGAACTTATCATTTTAAAGTCTGCCACATGTGGATCAGTTTAGTGCCTATTCACCTCCAAGGCAAGGAACTCCACCTAGCCTTGAAGAGATGTTAGTAAATATTTGTCTAATAAATAAGTTAAAGAATAGATGTTGGAATGAACATTCTCAAAGAAAATTTTTATGCATATATAACCACTTTCTTAAAACAAATTCATTACAGAAAATACTTCTGGGTTGAAGGGTATTAATAGTGTTAATATTAATTGTGTTCATATTAACCATGTTAATGTTTTGATGTATGCTACCAAATTAGTGGACAAAAACGTTTTTACAATTTACTCTCCCCAAAAGAGGAAGGATTCGTTTCTTTGCATCCTCACCAGTATTTGACAGTATTATTTTTAAAATGATAAAAGAAGTTTTACTATTCCTTTAATTTTCATCTATTTGACAGTTAATAAAATAAGCCACTTTCACATTTTCATTGCTCATTAATATCTTAGAGAAGATGATTAAGGGAAAAGTTTGGACATAGTTACTTCTTTTCTCAGGCTTTATATGTGGCAAGTAGGTTCCATGGAGAAATAAAAATTGGCAGAAAGAATAATAATTGCAGCCAAGAATTTAGCTAAGTAGATTTACTGTTATAAAGAATTTGGAAGTGAAATCTACCAATAATAGTTATGCTAATAATGTATCTTAGCCTTTCTCTATCTATATCTTCATATTTATCTACCTCTATCTATCATATATCTGTATCTACATCTCTATTGATATGATTATGTCCGTGGCCTTTGCTTTCTGCCACTTTACTCCCCTTTTTCTTTTAAGATCTCCCTTTCTTACTTCGCATTTTGTCTTGTTTTTTCACTTTTTGTTTGTTTTAGTGTAAGTGTAATTGGCAATAAGATGGGCTACACAGGGGATGAACTACGAAGGCTTATGATCTCTTTTTAAGGAAGTGTTCCAGTTACCCATAGCTGTCGAACAAACCACCCCAAAACTTGGTGGCATAAAGCAAACTATTTTGTTGTGCTCATGGATTGTGCAGGCAGGAATTTGGCAGGGCCCAGGAGGGATGGCTTATATTTGCTTAAACATGTCTATTTCCTCCACTTGGGAAGACTTAAGTTGCTGGGAGTGACTGGAATAGCTAACTACAGGAATCATCTACAGGCCTTTTCACTCACATGTCCAGAACCTTGGCTGGAATGACCAAACGGGGGCTCAACTGGGATGGCTGACCACAGTGCTTACCTGGGGCCTCTCAATATAGCTTGGACTTCCTTGCAGCCTGGCGGACACAGGGTCGTCATACTTATAGTGTGGCTCAGAACTCCAAGAATAATGGTTCAGATGCCGCACAGTCTTTTATGATCAAGCCTTGGATGTCACATAGTGTAGCTTTTGTCATAGTACATTGGTCAAAGCAGTCATAGGGCCAGCCAGTTTCAAGGGATGGGGATCAAGAATCTGTGGCCATGTTTAAAAACCACTGTGCTAAAAAAACAAACTCATGCATCTTGGGACACTTCTAGGTGCATACCAGCTTTTGGAAAATACAGTTTATTTGGTTACACATTTGGTTATTACAGTTTATTTAGAAAACACAGTTTATTTGGTTAAACCGCTTAAACATGTATTTCTGATAATCAACTGTCCAACACTGTTCTATGCACAGTATCCGTAGACAAGAATAAATGACCATCCCTGCTAGCAAGACATTTGCTAGGATACGGAAAATAATTTGCTAAGATACAGACAAGTACCTGAAACAATGGGAGTGCAATTAAGTGCCGAACTGTGATAACTGATCAAAGATGCAACAGAAATTCATAAAAGCAAGAAAGATGTGACGGTTGGTACAGTTGCAGTCAGTAACTAAGGCACTACAGCAGGGCTTTGATGTGTGGGTGGGACTTGGAATCAAACTCCTGCCGTGAGCAGGTTGGGGAAGGGAAGAAGAGAAGAAGGAGCAAAGGTACAGAGCCCAGGAGCCTAAAACATCCAAAATTGAGGGAGACAGGATGTAGTCCGTAATAAGGTGGACTATGAAAAGAAAGGATGGTCTGCTAGCAAGACTCCATTCAGGAGAGGACCACTGTAGAATGTTGATCAAGGAAGCTATGCTTAGGAATAACTAAATGTCGGGGCTTCACAGGTGACATAGAGGGAAGATGAAAGGTTAGGGACAGCAACTAGAAGCCATATCCACATACCACCTAGAGTAGTATCATTTAACGTTTTTCTTTAAGTCAACTCATTTTTTTTAACTTAAGTACCTTTTCATAAAAAGGAAAATAAATTTTGTGTCAGTCCTCTACATGGAACATTAGTATGAGTAGGTATGTCACCCACCTCTCTCTCTGTCTGTCTGTCTCTCTGAAGTTAATGGTAGACAGTAGACAGTTGTTAAAGACTCACTAGCACTGAACTGAGCTTTCCCATTCATTAAATAGGCAGGATTACTAGAGAACTGAAGCAGGAATCCCTTCCTCATTAAAGAATCCAAAATTATGCCATAGCATGTCTGTACCTCCTAAATTCTCTCTCATCACCAGTGCTTTAAGAAATCCCAGACCAACAAATCTGAGCAGAAAGCGAAGCAGCTGGACTGGAGCATGTCTGAGTACAGGACACACTTCTCCTCTGTAATAATGAAAATTACAGAAATATAATAAATCATAATCATTCATATTATTAATCCACTAACTCTCGTATGACCTTCACCCTCCTCCTTCCTTAGCTTTGCCAGATTTGTAGTTCTGTCCACTTTGGGGCAGGCATCTGCCTGTTTCATTGACATGAGCACTGTAAATTCTCAATGATCAATGCTCATAAAGAAACGGAATGAAAACTAAACCTATTTACATTTGTTTTGGAACCAAGCACCTCTCATTGGAATTCATAGACATAAAAGACTCAGGAATAAAGCATGGAAAAATCCAAAGAGAATGTTTTGTAAGCTTTACAATGCATTCTATGGCTGGAAAAAAATAGATTTAAAAGACATACTTTCCTAATTCTTATTTGTTCAATCTAAAATTAAGATATATTAATATTCCATTATATATATATATATATATACACTACATCATGCTGTACCTTAAATATAAATAATAACATTTATTTTTTGATGATATATTAACTTGGGGTATATTCTGTCTGTGTATATTTTCATATAAGTTAATATCTGTTAATTGGCTGAACAAATGACTTGACTTAATAACATATATTGACTTGTATGAAAATATCATTCAAGGAGAGGGACAGAACAGAAACCTGAGAATAGCTGGAGATGCTAAGACACAGTTTCTTGTTAATCTTATCTACTCTTAGGACTGCAGCGACCACCTACATACTAAGGATTCCCAAGTCTATGTCTGCAACCCAACCCAGCTGTCCTCCTGAATTTCAGACACACATCTAACTCTTGTTAGACCTCTCCACTGCAATGTCTCTCAAGAACCTCAAACTTAACATATTTAAAACATAAGTCATCACCGTGCCCCTCAAACTCTGTGCTTGCCCCTAGATTTACAATGTCGATGGCCACCGTCTAGGAGCTTACCCAAGAGGAAACTGAGTGATCCAGCCTTAGTCCTCTTGATCACTTCCCATATCTAATTAGTAGCCAAGCACGCATACTGCCCTTTAAAGGAATTCATGTAACACTTGTTTTTAGTAGACTCTTGTTTATTCAGAATAGTAACAGGAGAGAATTATATAATCACCTATCTATTCTGATTAACAGTTACCAAGAGTGCTAATTTTCACATAATTACAGTATAACAAAACATGCAACACTGTTAAATAAAAGATACCTTTTCTTGCATTTTTTCAAATCATTTAACAAAAGTCTCAGGGAAATTACAACTAATCAATTACATAATATTTACATGTTTATGGGTGCTTACGCAAGTGCATGGGCATGTATGTGTGTATGTGCGTGTGTGTGTGTATGTGCGTGTGTGTGTGTGTGCGTATCTCCTGACTTCTGCAAATAAATTTAAGATGGAGAAGATAGAAAGAAGTTGTAAAACAGAGTCCTGTGGGGCCGGGTGCAGTGGCTCACGCCTGTAATCCCAGCACTTTGGGAGGCTGAGGTGGGCGGATCACCTGAGGTCAGGAGTTTGAGACCAGCCTGGCCAACATGACAAAACCCTGTCTCTACTAAAAATACAAAAATTAGCCTGGCGTGGTGGCACACACCTGTGATCCCATATACTTGGGAGGCTGAGGCAGGAGAATCACTTAAACCCAGGAGGCAGAGGTTGCAGTGAGCCAAGATCATGCCACTACACTCCAGCCTGGCAACAGAGCAAGACTCCGTCTCAAAAACAAAAACAAAACAGAGTCCTGCGGAGGTCTGATTTCCCACCCAATAACCACTCCATATCTAATATGGTTTGGATCTGTGTCCTGACTAAATCTCATAGAAATGTCACCCCAGTGTTGGAGGTGGGGCCTGGTGGGAGGTGTCAGGATCACGGGCACAGATCCTTCATGAATGGCTCAGTGCCATCCCACTGGTGATGAGTGAGATCACGCGAGATCTGGTTGTTTAAAAGGATGTGGCCCCTCCCATTCACTCTAGCTGCTGCTCCTGCCAGGCGTCGTCCTGCTTCTGCTTTGCCTTCCACCATGAGTAAAAGCTCCCTGAGGCCTCCTCAGAAGCCGAGCAGATGCCAGTGCCATGTTTGTACAGCTTGCAGAACCATGAGCCAATTAAAACTCTTTTCTTTGTAAATGACCAAATCTCATTTATTTCTTTATAGCAATGCAAAAATGATCTAACAACACCCCTCCACTTCCTTGAAGCACAGGGCTTCCAATTTTGATAAGTTATAAGCAGACCTGTGCTTCAAGGAAGTCCAGATGCCCTCCACCTCACAATGGGAAGTCTTCCGTTTCCCTTGCCAGCAACTGGTTTAGGAATAGCCGTATGGAACTCTTTGGCCAATGATGGTGAGTGCAATGGGAAAGAGGCCTTAAGAAGCATTTCACTGCTCTTAAAAAGGGACATAAGGTCAAGTGCTCTCTTTTGGCCTTTGAATTTTTTTTTTAAATGAGGATATGATGTCGGGAGCCGTTGATGGCATTTTAACACCTGAAACAGACTCTAGAGCCTGCTGATGCGGAGCAGAAAGGTGGGAAGAACCCTGACGATGCTGTTAAGCTGCTGAATTAACAACTCTTCACATTTTTTATGTGGGATAAAAGATTGCTTTACTATTTAAGACATTCTGCCTTGGGTATTCTCTTAGTTAATGCTGAACTTATCACAAGTGACACAGACTAACCAAATATGGGTGTCTTCTAGTTTGTATTTTGTTTTGTTGTTATATTACAAAACACATGCCTGTCATTTCTTCTCTCATAAAAAAAAATGTACCTACCAGAAATAATTTTATCTATTTTAGCTCTTTGGGATATAGAATAAACGAAGTTCGATGCACCAATGAAGGGAGGGGAGGAAGGTCCAACTGACTGAAACAAAAAGTTCAAAGGAACCCAAAATGTGTTGTTTTCATCATTCTGGTCCTTAGAGTTTTGTCAAAAGCAGCTAGCTGATGTGTCTTCAAATGATTCAGTCCTGGGGCTTTCTTAAGTAAAAAATAGACTAATATGAGCATCAACTACTATCATTCAAGGCCCCATTAGACTACAACATGCATGAGATTTCAACCTCTAGGGCTCTGCAATCCATAGGGCCCACTTAGGAGTCATCATCCTTGAATAAAGCCAAGAAGGTTACTCAATTCATTTTCATACTAAACAAATTGAATCTTTAATCACAGGGCAATTATCAGCAAGCTGTTCTTTTGCAATTACTGCCTCCATCCATGAAAGCATTTTTTAACTGTGATATCTAAAAATAAATTCTAAAGTCTCCCCCAGAAGAAACTTATAGCTTACATTTACTTTGTAGCATATATTTTATTTGTCTCCACTTCAGCAACTTGTTTCTCTAAAAAATCCATTTTGAATATTTAGGGAAAAGGTGTTTTCTGCCTCGGTGAAACATGATTTTCCCAAATATTTTTTTTTAAAAAAACTAATTTTTCTTATTATTCTGAATTTCCAAAATTTTCTTGCACATCATAACTCTGCTGAAATGCTGAGTAATTTATATGATTTAAAACTGGGGGCTGAGTGCAGTGGCTCACACCTGCAATTCCAGTACTTTGGGAGGCCAGGGCAGGAGGATTGCTTGAGCCCAGGAATTTGAGACCAGCCTGGACAACACAATGATACTCCATCTCTAAAAAGATTAGCATAAATTAGCCAGGCATCATGGCATGTGCCTGTAGTCCTAGCTACTCAGGAGGCTGAGGTGGGAGGATCACTTGAGCCCAGGACGTGGAGGCTGCACTGAGCAGTGACCATGCCACTCCACTCCAGCCTCAGTGACAAAGTGAGACACTGTCTCAAAAAATTTTTTAAAAATAAAATTTGGAACATTAACAATAATATGAAATTATACTGGTGGTTTGAAGCTGTTCCCCCTAAAAAACTGTCAAGTGAATCACCACTTTTTATTCTGTTTTAAAGAGGACACAGCAATGAGGAAATGGGTTTATTTGTAACAGGAAGGTTTAATTAGACCCCAAGAGTAGATTTCTGAACAAGGATGAGTTTCCCTTTTCTTATTAAATATTGACAAATTGTAATTGTACATATTTATGGAGTGTACCCCCATGTTTATTGCAGCATTATTCACAATAGCCAAGTTCTGGAATCAACCTAAGTGTCCATCAACTGATGAACAGATGAAGAAAATAAGGATGCATTTCTCAGGGAGGCTGTGATGGGCACATTTTCTTCATGTGATTATGATTTTATTGTATTCCACAGACATCATGGCAAGGTTCTGCAACGTCATCTCATGGGAGTTTAAGGTTCCATGTGATGGACCAGAGAAAGGGAGACCTACCCTCTGAGCTGTGCGTTAAAAATAGCATCATTGGTCCTCAGGATGAAAGACAACGGCAGACCTCAAGTTGCCCGAGGAGCTCAGAGGTGAGGGGCATGGGTATTCTCACTGCAGTTATACTGCAATCATGTCCACATCCACAGACCAACCAGCCTGCTGGGGAATCATTACCTCCTTCACCCACTGCCACCTGCACCTCTAAGCAGAATTATGGTGTAATAAAAGCAGTGCAAGCACAAGTGTAGGAGTTGAAAATGAAAAGTATTAAAGAGACTTGAATAAAAACCAGTAAGTGAAAAACAAATATATAGCACTTGCTGCAGACTGTATAAAAGCTCCCATTTTTGTCTTAAAAACTTATGAGAAATGGTGTTACCAGTCATATAAAAGTACTAAGAGTTCTGATACATGTTAGACCCATTTGCCAAACAACCAGTAAGTGACAGGCATCTACATAGAGAATTTTAACACTGGGGGAACCTCGAGAGGTTCAACGCTTCCTTTGGCAAGTTAGTAATGATGGTTACTCCTTGCTGCATGGATGATGAACCAATTGAAAATAAGAGGGAAGGTATATACATCTTAGTGATCTATATCTAGGAAATTAAACTTAAGTTACATATTATCTGTTCTCTAGTTGGAGGCGCCTGGGTGTAAGGACAATTGGGCTGTGATACTCTCACTTTACTAAGGCATCCACGTTTGCTATTTAGTTCAAGGAAGAAGATGAACTTCCCAGACAGAGATATGAGCAGCTCAGGATTGAGCCCAGGCCGACTCTGTTGAAACTATACATACTAGAGAAGGGTTAAGGACTGCAGCGTGAGGAATAATGAGCTTCCTAGGAAAAAAAATGCATTCATGCATTCTAAATGGAAGAATAGGAAATCAGGATGTAACCCAGGCACTGGTAGAGAGGGGCAACAGTGAGAAAGACACATTTCTTCTCTCTCAATTCCACCATAAAGCTTTGCCTCCATAAAGGAATAGGCCCTAGGAAAAGAAAAGGGGCCCAGGAACAGTAAAGCTCATCTCCACAGAAAAACCTCAAGTCGCTGGAAACATAAGCAGAGCTACTTTGAAACCAAGAGGTCAGTGTGGAGCGAAATACTGGACGGGAAAAGATTCTTCCCAGTCCAGTAAAGTGGCGTAGTGCACTGGCATGGTTCAGCTTCCAAGCGGATGTGCGGGAGCTCAGGCAATGCCAGCCTCTGCACCAGTCCCAGATTCAGCATCTGCAAGTGACTATGAGAGCAATAGGACAGCAACGCGGTACTAACGGTGATCACAGCGGGAGCCACCACCACCGTCCTCAGTAGCAGCACGTGTCATGCCAAGGGTGAGAGGTGGCCCAGGCGGCAGGAAGTGGTATCCTTGGCAAGAGTACCATTTCCCAGTTATATAAGGGTCTATCTCTGGACTTTATCCAGTCAGGTAAGCTACTTAGAAGAGTAATCTTTAGCAAAACTAATGCCTAGAAATTCTTTTGATCCCTGATCACCACAAATTTTAAAACACACACATGAAAAAAATGTTTCTGATTAAGAAAAGCTGTAAAAACAGCAGGCCTTTGGCATTTGGGGATTTAATGTATTTGGTCTAAATTTTTTACCAGCAACCCTGAAATTCAATCTCATATGGTACTTCATAAACTTTTGAGACACAAATCTGAACCATGGATGTTGTGCAGAAGTGACTGAGGCCAGGAGGTCATTCAAGCCTCTACATTTCAATAGAGCTTTGCTGAAACCCCCAATTCTTCTTAGGAAGGTGCTGCACTGGAAAGGACCTTCCTTGTTATAATGATGGTCCTTTTACTATAGCAATAGTGACAGTGAATAAAATGTTAAATTATCCATGTGGTTAACTATACCTTATTGGTGACTGCCCTGAGCTATAGAATTAAATGTTAATGAATGGATAAATCAATCGACCAAATATCCTACTCAAACTGGACAGCTAATCTTGAAATTACAGCTGGCAAAGATTGTATTAAGTTTATTTCTTCTTCGAACAGGTCCATTGGCTAAAACAACACAGTTCCAAATGCAACTAGAAATCTACTCTGTTCATATCGGGAAGGAAATGTTTTCCTAGATAAATAGCCCAAATAACAGCTCAACAATTTATCTTAAAGCCCATTTATCTTGCTGTGTTTTAGTGTGGAAATAAGCAAGCCTGAGATTCAGAATAGGTGCGAGGCTAGATACTGGCCTACTTACTTTAGTGGTAATTACATTTAATAAATGGTTGTAGGACTTATTATTCTCTCTCCACGGATGATATTAAGTTTGCCTTTTAAGTCGTTTTCTCAGTAAAGACTTTTTTAATCTGTTTTTTTTTTTTCCAATGCCGACCAGCAATTCTATTCAAATAGCTTTTCACCAGTAGCAGGTTTCTAAGCTAAAGAAATGTGTGTTTGGCTGGGCACAGTGGCTCATGCCTGTAATCCCAGCACTTTGGGAGGCCAAGGTGGGCGGATCACCTGAGGTCAGGAGTTCAAGACCAGCCTGGCCAACATGGTGAAACCCTGTCTCCACTAAAAATACAAAAAAAAAAAAAATTAGCTGGGCATGGTGGTGGGCACCTGTAATCCCAGCTACTTGAGAGGCTGAGGCAGGAGAATCGCTTGAACTCGGGAGGTAGAGGCTGCAGTGAGCTGAGATCGTGCCATTGCACTCCAGCCTGGGCAACAGGGGTGAAACTCCGTCTCAAAAAAAAAAAAATTTTGTTAGGTGACCAGATGGAAATGACCAACTATATCATTTCCAACTCCTAATCAGAAGCCCAAAGACTCTTTCAGGGTTGCCATATTGAGGAGCTCTTCACCACGCTCTGTACTTCCGACAAGCACATCCTCCCATTCTTAAAAACAGGAAAGAAATAAAAGAGTACACTAAGGTCAGTACATTCACCATTCCCAGTAGCTCATCTCTGTCTGCAAATCTTTTTGCCTGAATATGTTTTCCTCAACGCTCACATTTTGCCTGGACATATCAACTTCTTTCCTTCATCTCGATACCAATCCTGTGACGGTTATTCTAAACCCAATACAAAAGTCAAGTAAAGTGAGATATCCAAATAGAAAAAAAAAGTAGCCTAATAAAATAATAAGACAACTATCTAAAAGCCATAGAGGGCCAGGCATAGTGGCTTACACCTGTAATCCCAGAACTTTGGGAGGCCAAGGCAGGTGGATCACTTGAGATCAGGAGCTCAAAGTCAGCCTGGCCAACGTGGGAAAACCCCATCTCTACTAAAAACACAAAAATTAGCCAGGCATGGTGGTGCATGCCTGTAATCTTAGCTACTCAGGGGGCTGAGGCAGGAGAATCACTTGAACCCAGGAGGTGGAGTTTGCAGTCAGCCAAGATCATGTCACTGCACTCCAGCCTGGGTGACAGAGCAAGACTCCGTCTCAAAATAAATAAATAGGCTGGGAGTGGTGGCTCACTTCTGTAATCCTAGCACTTTGGGAGGCTGAGGCAGACAGATTGCCTGAGCTCGAGAGTTTGAGACCAGCCTGGGCAACAAGGTGAAACCCCATCTCTACTAAAATACAAAAGAAATTAGCCGGGCGTGATGGCATGCACCTGTAGTCCCAGCTACTCGGGAGGCTGAGGCAGGAGAATTGCTTGAACCCAGGAGGTGGAGGTTTCAGTGAGCTGAGATTGCACCACTGCACTCCAGTCTGGGTGACAGAGCAAGACTCCATTTTAATAAATAAATAAATGCCATAGAGGGTAAATGCCTGCCTCCTTTGAACTCCTCCTTGTACACTGCTCATTATTGATGTTTTGTCAATATAAATGCTAGTTATCAGCGGGGATATTCCATCTGTTCCATGCGGCCCCTGCCTTTCTTTCTTCCTCCTTTACACTTAGAGGACATGAGGCCTTCTAATTCATCTTGTTTTTTGTTAAAGAAAATGGGCAGAGAGATAGTAAAGCTCTCCTTTTCATAAACCACCTTCAACAAAGCTCTGGGGATTGTTGTCTTCTTATTACCTCATTTTGTAACATTCCCTAGAGTGAAGAAAAGCCACAACGATGATGATAATTAATTTCATTTTTTGGCTTATAGGATACACTTATGAATAAGCCACCAATACGCCAACACTCTTGGTGTGACCAGGAAGTCAGGAGGATGAGAAGACAGGAATTACTCGGCGGCTTATTGGGAGCAGCACCACGAGCAGGCTGATCAGTGTGGAGAAAAAGCATCTTGAAATGAGAGCTAGGGACTCCAGAGATAAATGTACATTCTTCACACTTTCACACTCCTGAAACGCCCCACCCAAAGTTAGCATCAGCCTTGGAGCACTGGATTTTTGAAGCATTTCAATGCCTATCCCACCATACTTCCTTCTCTTCTTATCCATCTTTTCTTCGTTCTCATTGGAGATGTTTTATTAGTATGAATGAATGGGCTGGTGTTGGAAAGTTCCAAGTCAGTTTTTGAAGGAGATTTGAATCTCAGATAATAGTGTCTTGGCTCATGATGGCTGACTATAGAAGACCCCTTTCCCGCACGCAGGCCAAATATTCTAAGCACATACACACACACACACAAAAAAAGGTCGGAAAATAATGCCAAATGGGGAACCACGGAATACGAATGGAATTATGACTGCCAAGTGCAGAACATGATTCTCCAACAACAGACCACTCATGCTGGAAAGAAAAGAATAACAATATCTGTATGTACAAAGAAAGTGTCTGTACACACATGCATGCACACACATACACACACACTATATTAGGATACTACATAAAGTCACTGTACCACTTAGCTTGCTCTGTCATTTGCTTAGTAGAAGACGTCTCTCCATCATCTGAATGAGAGTTTACAGGCCAGGGTTATAATTAAGGATATTTCAAGAGTTTTATAAAAAGTTCAAATGGGCCCGGTGCGGTGGCTCACGCCTGTAATCCCAGCACTTTGGGAGGCCGAGGCGGGTGGATCATGAGGTCAGGAGATCGAGACCATTCTGGATAACACGGTGAAACCCCGTCTCTACTAAAAATACAAGAAAATAGCTGGGCGGGGTGGCAGGCGCCTGTAGTCCCAGCTACTCAGGAGGCCGAGGCAGGAGAATGGCATGACCCCGGGAGGCAGAGTTTGCAGTGAGCCGAGATCGCGCCACTGCACTCCAGCCTGGGTGACAGAGCGAGACTCTGTCTCAAAAAAAAAAAAAGTTCAAATGAAGATGTTTCATCTTTACAAAAACATCTGTATTGAGATTTTACCAGATATATTAAATGACTATGTATTTCTGTTATTGGAGCCTTTTAAGAGTGGACCTTGTGGGGGCTGAAAATGTAATATCATTTGTAATATACTTATGAGAAAATATCTTTAAGATGTTAGGAAGGGGCAGAACATGAGGTAAACCTGGACTATTCTGTAGTACCACAGCATAAGGAAGTTCCCCCAAATAAAAGGATGTGGACATGTCCAAGCGACACAGGGGCTCACCTAAAGGAGCTTCTCATGACCAAAGCAGGAACAACTTAAAGAATCATAAAAGTACCATCGAACTGGATTTTACCCACAACATAAGATAAATATCCCAGGGGTCTACGGATATAAATAAAGGTTTGAATAAATAAGATATTGAGGGAAAATAGACTAATCTTCCTTACAAAAAATTACAAAGAATAAATGCAATCACTCCCTAGCCCAGGAGTTGCTGAATGTGGGGATGTGGGACTTCATGTCTAGCTTCAAAAAATTAGAGTGTAGAGAGGGAAAAATAGTAACTTTATAGTGAGAAACACGGCGAACACTACTTTCACCAAACAATAAAGATGAGCATCATCGATCATGTCATGTAAATAGCATGTATGCCATGATATGATGTGACAAGAAGTGCACTTGACCTCTGTGGTACTCCATCCTAAAGCCCATAATCCCAGTCTAATGATGAAAAAAAAAAATCAGACATGCACAAAATGAGGGACATTCTATAAAAGACCTGATCTGTATGCCTTTAAACCGTCAAGGTGGTGAAAAATAAGGAAAGCTTGAGAAACTGTCATGGACAAGAGGTGACCAGGGACACACAGCAACTAAATGCAATGTGGTATCTTGGATGAGATCCTGGAACAGAAAAGGGACATTAATTTAAAAACTAGTGAAATTCAAATAAAGTGTGGAGTTGAGGTGTTAACACATTAGGGGAAATGAAAATCAGGAAAAAGGTGTATAGGAGATGCTTGTACTATGTTTGCAAATTTCCTGTAGATCTAAAGGTATTCCAAATTAAAGTTTTTTTAATAGAAAGATACATTGGGAATCTCATAGGCAGACTCTTAGCAATGTGTGCACATGTCACGGACATATCGTGGGTTGAAGTGATAGGATTTCAGGGAATGGAAAACTTAGGAATCAGTTGAGTCAGAAAGTCAGAGTAGAAGATTCTTAATAATCAAGGCTGGCCGGCCTTTAAGAGTATTTTGGTGGGTTTGGTTGGGTGCGGTGGTTCACGCCTGTAATCCCAGCACTTTGGGAGGCCAAGGAGGGCAGATCACGAGGTCAGGAGATCGAGACCATCCTGGCTAACACGGTGAAACCTCGTCTCTACTAAAAATACAAAAAAAAAAAAAAATTAGCCAGGCATGGTGGCGGGTGCCTCTAGTCCCAGCTACTGGGGAGGCTGAGGCAGGAGAATGGCATGAACCTGAGAGGCAGAGCTTGCAGTGAGCCAAGATCGTGCCACTGCACTCCAGCCCGGGTGACAGAGACTCCATCTCAAAAAAAAAAAAAAAAAATAGTATTTTGGTGGGTTTGACACATTCCCTGCTGCAGAGTGTCTTACCGTCTCTGATCAAGTGCACTCAGCCACAGCAGGGCAGAAGCTAAATAATGAGCTAGCAGATTCAGGCAAGGCAACAAGCTAGAACAATGTACTCAGGAAAAATTTAAAAAGTTAATGTTCTCCTCCAGACTAATGAAAATGGAGACATATGGAAGTTGAAACTCCCAAAACAGTCTACCATAAACAATAACACTGGATATTGACATAGATCACTAAAGTGACTCCATTTCCCAAGTCTCAGGAGAAAATCAATGAAATCTCAACCTGTGGGATGGTTCAGATGCAGCCTTGTATATTACCTTCTTCATCTGACAATTACAACTGTGTGAATGCCTAATCAGTAGTTTCTCATGCAAACCTGAGGTTTCTTTCCACTGAATTCTTTTTTATTTTTTCTTTTTTTTTTTTGGAGACAGGGTCTCACTCTGTTGCCCAGGCTGGAGTGTGGTGGCACAATCATGGCTAATTGCAGTCTCGTCCTCCTGAGTTCAAGTAATCCTCCCACCTTAGCCTCCTGAGTAGCTGGGACTACAGGCATATAGACACGTGCTACCACGCCTGGCTAATTTTTTAATTTTTTGTAGAGACAGGATCTCACTATGTTTTCCAGCCTGGTCTCAAACTCCTAATCTCAAGCGATCCTCCCAGTCCAGCCTCCCAAAGTGCTGGGATTACAGGCCTGAGTCACCTGCACTCAGCCTCCAGTGAATTTTTGTCGCATATGACATCTGTAGCATTCATCTGGCAGGTAGCATATGCCGTCTTATTCTTTCACTCAAGGGTCTAAGCCCTGTCTCACTCAACACACATTCATTCATTCGTTCACTTGCTGTTTCAATAGTCAAGTTTATCAATATTAGGCATCTACTAGGCACTGTGCTTGGCATTAACAGTACCTTCTTATAAGACACCATTGCTGCCCTCAAAAACTTTCCATTGAGGGCAGAGATAGACAGCCAATTAAAACAAAACAGTATTGTTAAGGGTTATAATATGCTGTCCATGGTGTTATGGGACCACAGAGGAGGGACACCCAACCAGGTTTTAGGTTTAGAAATGATGACATGTAAATTGAGTCTTGAAAGACAACCAGATCATAAGTAACCCGAGGCCAAAGGCCCACTCATATATGCTGAATCTTCCGAAGTCTGAAGCTCAACTCCCTGTAGGCAGTAGGTATTGGAATGTTTGTTAATTATAATCACACAAAGATGGATAATATGAATCAAGACCATAACAATGGTGTGGGTCCAAGATACAAAGAGCAGAATTCCAACTCTCAAGTAGTCTTTGGAATTTTCCCTGTTCATTCTTGTGTCCATCATGCCAATCACAACTTCTGGCACATCCGTGGCACTCAATAAACGTTTCCTGAATGAATGAGCTTGCTCAGACTCACCAGATCCAATTCAACAGGAAGTCCCATGAGCTCTTATTTTACAATACTTCTTGCATCGGTGCCTCATTAGTTTTCTACTTCCATCACCTCTTTTTACTTCCCTTTTCACAATTCCTATATGGACCACTAAAAAAGATGCTACACTGGTCTCCCCAATTCTAGGCTCTCATTCCTCAACACTGCATGCCACCACATTTTCTGAAACCTGGGCTTTTCAAATAAAGTATCTATTCAAATATCTCCCCTTTGCTTACAGAATAAAGCCCAGTATCTTCCAAGTCCTCAAGCCCATTAATCTACCATTGTGGGTGTTTTTACACCCAATTCTTCCTAAATAAACTCTGTCCCCAGATATACTTGTTAAGTCACTGCTCTCCCAAACAGTTTTTGGCTGTCCAGATTCTGCTCAAAAGTCTTAATTCAGACCAGTCCTACAACTGGCAGCTCTTCCTCCAGGTCCTTACCAGTACGAACCATCACCAAGAGTGAGGCCTTCCTTGATATCCTTCTCTGGACAAGGCATGATTTAAGGTCTCTGAAGCAAGAAGGTCACAATTCACTAAACAATTGCTCCTGGAAGGAACTCCAGAAAAAGATAACTACTGGGTACTGGGCTTAAGACCTGGTGATGAAATATGATACAACAAATCCCCGTGACATGTGTTTACCCATGTAACAAACCTTCACATGTACCCGCCCAAGACCTAAAATAAAAGTTGAAAAAAGTCAAAAAGAAAAAAAAAAGAATGTTTTATCTTCCCTCCTGTTGAATAAAATATAGATGTTCTACTAAAAAAGAGAATTTATTAAAGAGTGAGTAGTTTAGTGGGAAAGGCAAATAAAGCTCTAACTAGATACAGTGTCTTATGTGCAATGGGATAACAGGGAAGGTTGTCTAAAGCAGATGGGGAGGTGAGGAGAGGGAAGGACCCAGGAAGCCATACAGGGAGAGGTGACAAGCAGCAGTCACCCACATGAAGACAACAGTGACAGAGAACATCAAGGACAAAGACCTCCATGGGTTAGAGAGGACAGGAGAAGCATAGAGTCTGAGGAGGTATAGCTGGAGAGAAGCAGTAAGCAAGGCTAAGGGCACTGTACGCATTTTATTTATTTTTTGTAAACTATCATGGAAATCTACATAAAGATGCAAATCTTCTGTGTATAGCTCTGTAAATGTTTACTTCGTAACCAACACCTAAAAATAGAGATAGAACAGTATTAGCTCCCCAGAAGCCTCCTTCGTGCCCATTTTACCCTCAGAAGTAATCGCTAATTCTGAGTCCTAGTTCCATGCTTCAGCTTTGCCTTTGTGTGTGCGTGTGTGTGTGTGTGTGTGTGAGAGAGAGAGAGTGTGTGTATCACTACTGTTGCCCAGGCTGGAGTGCAATGGCACAATCTTGGCTCACTGCAACCTCCACCTCCCAGATACAAGCAATTCTCCTGTCTCAGCCTCCCAACTAGCTCGGATTACAGGCATGTGCCACCACACTCAGCTAATTTTTTTGTATTTAGTAGAGATGAGGTTTCACCATGTTGGTCAGGCTGGTCTCAAACTGCTGACCTCAGGTGATCCACCTACCTCGGCCTCCCAAAGTGCTGGGATTACAGGCGTGTGCCACCACGCCTGGCCAGCTTTGCCTGTTTCTTGACATAAATGGAATCATACTGTCTATGTCTGTCTTCTTTCGTTCATTATTATGCCTGAAAGAGTCATTCACATTATTGCATGCAGATGCAATAGATATATATAAAATCTCTTTTCAATGCTCAATGTATTACACTGTATGGATAGACTACAATACATTGTCCATTCAACTATAGTTGGATATTAGGGATGCATCCTACTGTGAACAACTAAAATAATGCTTCGGTAAGCATTTGTGTATATGTCTTTCATTAACCTGAGCACACATTTATTTGATATATACATAGAATTTAAATTTTATAGGTCAAAATATCAAAAGATGTGTTTAATGTAGTAGATACTGCAAAAACAGTTTTCCAAAGCAGCTATGAATGAAGTCCTACCAGAAGTTATGAGAGCTACAGATGCTCCCCATTTTCATCAATACTTTGGTCACTGTCAATTATTTTATTTTAATTTCAGCCATTCTTGTGTTTGAATAATGGTGTATAATTTTGTTTGAATTTTGTACTTCCTTGATAACTAATGACATCAAGCACCTTTTCATGCATTTACTGCCCATTTGATTATCCTCTTTTGTGAAGTTCCTGTTCAAGTGTCTTCCTCACTTTTCTGTTGGGCTGTCTACATTTTTCTTATTGATTTGTAGGTGCTCTTTACATATCCTGGATTAAAACTCTTTGTCAGAGTGTGTGCTAAAAATATATTCTTCTAAAGTTAAATTATATATATATATATATATATATATATATACATATTCTTCTACTTTGTGACTTGTCTCTCATGCTATTAATCAAATATTTTATACACAAAAGCACTTACTTCTAATATAGTCCAGTTTACTAATCTAATAAATTGGGATTATTAAAACTGCTTCAAAATTTTTCCTTAGTCAAGTTGATGAAGAATTTTTTTATTACATTTGTTCTAGAAGCCTCATTTCACTTTCCAATTTAGGTTTACAACTCATATTAAACTGATTCATATTAAAACACAAATGAATACGTATTTTAATGTGGATATGCAACTGACCCAGCACCCTTTTTTGAAAAGATTATCTCTTTCCCACTGCATTACAGAGTCACTTTTGTCATAAATCAAGTATCTATCTGCACAGGTCTGTTTCTGCACTGTCTAGTTTGTCAGTTGATCCATTTGTTTATCCTTGCACCAATACCACACTGCTTTAATTAATCTAGCTTTAGAATAAGTTTAGATGCCTGGAAGCAGGCTTTGTTCTTCTTTTTAAAGATTGTCTTGGCTATTGTTGGCCCTTTGCATTGCCATATAAATTTTAGAATCATTTTTCAATACACACACACACAAACTTGTTGACATTTTAATTGGAAATGGATCTACTCTATAGGTCAATTTAGGGGAGAATTAAAAAGAAGTCTTACCAGCTTTTATTAAATTTATTCCTAAGTATTTGACATATTTATGTTCATGTAAATAGTAATGTTTTTAAGTGTTAGACTGGAATTTCTAATAACTAAATTTTGCCTATTGGCTTTGAATCCAGTGGTCCTGATAAATCCAGTGACAGTATTAATTCATTAAGTATATCTGTAGTTTATTTTGTATTTTCAAATGTACACAATCATACTGTCTGCTAGTAGTGATAATGTCGTTACACATTTTCAATTCTTATATTTTCATTTCTTTTTCTTGCTTTATTGTATTGTCTACTACTTCCGTACAATGCCAACTAAAAGCGATGACCATGGACATCTCTGTCTCACTCACAATCTGCACAGATAATTTTTCAATAGTTCGCCATTAACTGTGATTCTTTTTAAAGAAATGGTTTATCGGAATAGTAATGATTGCTTTTATTTCTTGTCAGTTGAGAATGTTGTCATGCATGGGTACACAATTTCATCAAATCCTTTTTCTTCCTCTGTTGAGATAATTGTATGGTCTTACTCTTTTATCCTATTAATATGATAAAATATAGTAATTGATTTTCAAATTTCATATCAACTTTGCATTACTGGAATAAAATGAATTTTGTTATGATACATTATCATTATGTATGACAGTATCCATTGCTTATTTTTTTTAAGTATACTTTATCATCTAAACAACCTGTCCCTTGAAGGCAGTATTCTTACACTATTAATAGTTTGCATTTTTCTATTTAATCATAACACTGCCATTATATTGTAACTCTGTTTATACAACTTTAAACATCTTCAGGGAAGGGACCCTGCACTGGTCTTTGTATTTAATAACATTGTTAATAACACAGTATATGTCAAATAAGTGCTTGTTGAATTAAAGACCTCACAGCTTCCTAACACAGTATCTTTCACATGAAAGACACTCAGTAAATATCTGGTGACTGATGAGTTTGCCAATTGGTATTTTTTTTTTATGTCAATGAGTCCCATCCTCTCAAATTAACTCCTCATGTTATTGCTGGATCAGACCTAACAACATACTGGCAGGAGCACAGTAATAGCTCAAGTCAGTGAAACACAAGGCTCTTTGCCTACTCTGGAGGATAAAGAAATATATTTATCACCCAACGGTCATGACATCCAGTCCCATGATGCCCAGGCAGGTAGTTCAACTTGGGCCGACTTCAACTGGCAGGCACAGTCAGACTTTCCAATGCAGATAAGGCTACCTGGGAAAGTTTGCCTCATTCTTCACTTAACTCTTTCATAAGGGCTAGATTTGTGATTTTAGAAACTGGGCTCTTTTTCTTTCCGAGTAAAATTTAAACATGCTTTTTTGGTTAAAAGGGCTATCTCTTAACAGCCACAGTTTGACCTTTCAACTGCACCTCAACATTTACGTTGTACCCTAAACTTTTAGCACATAGTCTGTGCAGGAATGGATCTTAAGCAATTGGGTAATTTTAATGTCCTCAATATATACAGTTTAAGCAACATTTCTGGTGTGAGATCGTGCCACAGACTCCACGTCTGTCTAACTATGCCATCTATCAGTCAATTCAGTAAGAGAACATAACTTATTACAACTACTGCCATGTCCCAGAATTCAAAGGACTCATCAGATTTATTTGGAGAAGAACTAAGAACTAAAAACTGTTACTTAAGTTTAAACCTGAGATAGTTATAGAAGTCTATAGAGAGAAGTAAAAACTTTTAGAGAAACTAGCCAGAAATTGGCATGTAGCTATTATATGGAAGAAGAGATGAAAAAGAAAACTTGTATTCAATCATCCAGAGCTTCTCAAATTAAATATATTAAATATGATATGTCCCTATGATTATGTTAAAATAAGTCAAGCCACACCCAAGAGAGTTCATAGAAACCAAAAATTCTTCAAAAGACACTGCAATGTCAACCTGCAGTGAGAGAAGTCCGTTAGTGGGTAGATATATGTCGACTGTAGTGGTGACAAGGACAGTGATGGACATGCCCTGAGATCCACTGGAAGACACTCATGAGACATCTACACTTTCATGTCTTGACTGATGAGTTGGAGGCGGCAGAGAATCCTGCCTCCAACTATAGCTTGTCTGTGTTGTTTATCTAAAACCGCAGGAAATGATCCCAGTAAATGTTAATGTTCTTAAGCATTTGCCAGACTCTTTGTTTGTTTGTTGGATTTTTAAGGGAACATTTTAAAGATTCATTCCCTTAGGTTGAACTCTGTCTTCTGGCGCTTAACGGATCCACCCTGTGGGGTACAGTATTTTCATGGATCTGCTCCGTGGGACAAAAATGACATTACATAATATGAGCCTAGACCGCTGTGACCAAGTGTGCTCCAATCCATTTATCCTTTGCTCCTCATGTAAACAATTTATTCCAGGAGGCAAGTGTGCACTTGGCATTTATTTACTATTCACTGGTAACATAAACTCTGTTTAAGTAGGTGCAAATTCACACTTAGAGGAGACAATCTTTTTTTAAGTGTGAGGCACTTACTAAATAAATCAAGATACTACGGCTCACTACAGGTGAGAACATTAAGGATTCTGCTTTTATGATTTACCAAATCTGTCTTCTGCTTTCTCTTTCAAATTTAAATGGGCTTTCTGAGACATCCTGCCGATAAATGAAATGTTGCTTGACTTAATTCCACCAGCACAAGCTGGGAAGAGAAGCAGAGGTTGGAGAGAGGACAAAGAGTTTGTCTCTGCTAGCAGGACCAGCTGAGAGAGTGAGAACCAGAAAAGTCAGCCTCAGAATGGCCAGCCACAGAGCAAGCAAGGGCCCCACTAGCCAAGAAGAGTCAGGCCCCCAGATGATGGATGGGAAGCCAGGCAAACAGACAGCATAACAGGCCCAAGACAGTGAGCCAGCCTTGCCGACCAAAGGACCACTCACTTAGCGTCCAGGATCATCATACAGGCTGATCTCAAATTTGAAATCTGGAAGCTCTTTGGGCAGAGTGAGAGGACTCAGCCCTAGAGCCAGGCAGCACATGAGAAGTCATATACCTACAGTTACTGTGTATTGAGCATTTAATACAGGCCAAACACTGCACTAAGTGCTTTGTATGCTGCAGCAGTCTTGTGAGAGCTGGTCACAGATGTTCCCTTCCTTCTGGGTCTTAGCTGGATCCCCTTGTGCTACTCTGGAAGTGAGCCTTGACCATGAACCTTTCTTTGGCCAATACACATGAGTCATATGAATGGATGATTTCTGGGCGGAAGCATTGAAAGCCTAAATCATTACATGATTTTCCAACTGCTCTTTAGCTGCTTTGGCAGCCACAAAAACAATATCAGAATGGAGCTTCCATTGGGCAAGGCAACCAAGATGAGGATGGTCCCCAGCCAATAGGCACAGGTGAGATATGTGAGGTGGAAAGTATACTTTCGTGGTGTCCGAGTCTCTGACATTTGGAGAATGTTCGTTCCTGCACTACAGACATGGATTGTCTTGTTTCATCATGGCAAACCAGCGACTTCTCTAAGGGGGAACACAGTTGTGCATCTTGGTAACTGTGAGCCCTTTGCCCACAGAATTAATAAGAAATGATATCGAAGTCTGAACCCAGATCCCTCTTACCAGAGCTCCTACTCTTAACCACACTTTGACAGGAGCTAATTGAATAAGTAGGAGAGAAAATAAGGCATCTCCATCTTCATAAATAGCACCAGGAAACCTCCGTACAGTGCAGCTGGCATAAAACCAGGCAACAAAGTAGAGTGGGCTTTGCATCTCTTCCCCTTTAAAAAAGAAAAATGTTCAAAAAAGCATACAGCACCAAAGGATGCCAGCCTAACGCCATGTTATCCTCTGGGATAGTCACATCTTATTAAATGGTTACCTCCAAAGCAACCCAGCCCTAGGGAGGCTGCAAGAGCAGGGGTGGATTAGAGGGTTTGGAAGTAGTCCCTTGCTCCTCTTGCTTTGCTGGACCAGAATCCTTCACTTTTACATTAGACCTAAAGTAAATACAGGATCCTACAGAGAACAGAACTTCCACTGTTTCCCAAGCCTAATGCCTTCCAAAGCTCTGGACATTATGAAGCAGAACAGGAAACAAAAGATTTTAACAACCAAGAGCATTATTTGTAACTAATAATACAACATTCTGTGTATGGCCAGCAATTTTACTTTTTCCTGAAATTTCACAGTGGAATTCAAAGTCCAGAATTCTTGTTACAAAACACGACTTCCTCGCAGCTTCTTATTCATTATTTTAGTATGGAATGATTCTCTATAAACATTTATTTCTTAGTAAGTGTTCATCTTAAGTGTCGACCATCCAGTGACAGGAACCATATTTAAAGATTGATTCCAATCCTCAACTAATTCAGGTCATTTTTTTCTTGTCCAACCTGAGAATTGGCCCAGCAGCCTTTAAATCAGAAAAGAAGAAATAAATTATTCTCACTTTTAGCAAAGTGGGTGGAAATCCATTCTTTGGTTGTCTGCTTTATCTCACATGATTGACTTTCAGATTAATCTATCCCTCTGAAGTCTGGACAGAGCCCACACACTGCCACATTTCATTTCAGGGGAATTCTGTTATTATGATGACCAAATATGTGTGTCATTTGAAGTCATAACTTATTTATTTCCTTAATACTTAGATTGGCTTTTAAAGCACCAGCAAAATAACTGAGTAGGCTGTTTTCAGGCATATGATCTCCATCATAATTATTAATTTATTTTTTCAACATCATAAAAAAGTGGCCATCCATTTGATTAGACAGACCAGAAGGGTGTTTTTAAACTACCATATATCACCTTTGAATTTCACATGACACACTCATCCTAATCCCTGCAACATATGAATCAGAAGGTACCATATATGTTCAGAATGTTGTTTACAATGAAGTCAACATTAGATTTTCATGCTTTCTGTAGCAATGATACCAGGTTACATTTGTTATAGGTTTTTGACATCTCAAACATTAATTTCTATTAGAAATTACCATCAAACTACCTGAAATATTATAGTGCATTCAACATGACGTATATTATAAACAACTAGCTCTTGAATTCAAAAAAAATTTATATTGTATACTAATTTAATTTTTCATAGCACTTTCTTTAATATTAATTCATTAAAAATGTTCGTGATGTTTCAAAGGAGCAAGAGAATACCACCAATAAATTTATTTAAAGCCCCATTTCTAATTGAAAGGGTGTGTAGAGAAAAACATCAGAATAGATATATGCATCTCTCATTAAATGTAGTTGAAAAAGTAAAACAAATGCTACACTGATTTAAATATCAAATGAGGAGAATGATTTTTTTAAAAATGTATGCAATGCTCTCTTTTGGAGTATCTGAGTGAAGAAGAAAGCATAGATGCTCACACGCTTTCAAATAACCACATCTTCCTTTCCCTGGTCTCCAATCCTCAGAGGAGGCTGAGCATCCCATACTCATGCAGAAAGGTGAGACTGCTGTGGCACACATGGTATGACTTGATACTTTCAATGAAAATCTAAAAGTGAGAAAGCATTTAAGTATAATGCGTGCACCGCTCATGACTCAAGACATAGTCATAGAAGGCTGCACCACTGATTTTCAGTAAGAGAATAAAGGAAATAGACCAGCTAAAAGCACAAACTGCAAAAGAACATACATTCAGAGTGAAACTAAAACGAAGATACGTTCTATCACCCTCCCAAGGCTAGACTGTTATCCCTGATACTAAAATCAGCCACATCATTGGTTGATTACATGCTCTTTGCATGTAATGCATAAAGATGCTGTTTGCCCCCTTTAAACTAATAACACCACCAGCCCCTTCACTAATTCTGGAGAGGGCATGTTTAATGGATACGTTGCCTTTCAAACAACTTGCCATCCTAGAAACCTTCAGCGACTTCCATAGTCTTAAGGATATGAGGCATCCCTTTGACATTAGCAAATGGCTCTCTACACATAAAATAGTGCTGTTATCCAACTCAAAGCTTCATATTAGAGCTTTCAGTGACTTCATCAGGCCCTCAGAAAGCAGGCACAGACCTTCCTTTCAGATTATTATAATAGAGAAATGCCCCTTCTTCGCGTGTTTCCTCCTGGGAAGAAGCCTGTTGGTGCTGCAGAGCCCAGGAGGAGTGCTTTGGGGGGCAGATGGGAAGCAGGTCGGTGCAGCAGTTGGAAATGCGTGAGTTCCAGGAGTTCTTGGTCTTATCTTTTTTATCATTGTTGGCGTCCTGACCCAAATACAAGGAAACCTCCACATTCCATTAGCAGACTCAATTTGGATTCTGCAGCTCTGCAGGGAGAAATAGCATCTTCTCCTTAGCTAGTTGTGCTGCACTCTTGAGATAATTCTCTTAGTTTAATTTTAACATTTGGTTTAAGAAGATGCTGATGGATCAAATTTGAAACTGTGGATCCACTAAACGCCTTTTTAGAAGGTTTTTTTTTTTTCTTTCAAAATAGCAAGCCTTAGGAGCTCAACTCCAGAGCCAATTCACTTCGCGTGAAGTCGGCACTCCTTGGGAGTAGAGGTCCCCTCTCACCGGCTCCCACCCTCCAGAGGGGAGGATTTCTGGGGAGCCCGACGATCCGCTCGCTTTTAGCCTTTCTCCTTGCAACGCGCAAATCTCTCCCTAGTTGGGCTCAAGTAGAGAGGATCACCAACTGCTCATCCCAGCGGACACTCTGCAAAAAACTCTAATGGCTTGTGCGCGGGTCCACGCTGGTCGCTAGCGGCGCCAACTTTACTCATTCGTTAATTTGCTAGTTTTTGGACTGAGTAAAACAGCCCCCAAAGACGCGGGCAAACGCCGCTCTAAAGCCCACTACCATGCAACGCCAGGTTGCTCGGAGCCACGCTGGTGGCACTTCCCCTTCGTGCTCACTCTGCACAGGCACCTCCAGAACCCCGTGCAAATGAACCCTACCGGGAGACGCAGGTGGGCAGGTCGGGTCGGCAGGGACCAAGAGCCTGAAAGGGAACCTGCCCTCCCCTCCCCGCAGCCCGGTCATTAAGGCAAGAAACTGCAGGCAGAGAAGCCCCCGAATCCGACCTAGGACGTCGGCGCCTGCCAGGATCCCCTCGCCTGCCCCCCGCGCCCCGCGCGCGCTCATGCCACCACCACGGGGAGGGTGCATGCGGCAGGTGCCTGGCCGAGGCCCCCGGGAGCGAGTCGCCCTTACGTGCTCCAGCTTGTCTTTCCTCCGAAGCCAGACGCTGGCGCTGTAGTCCTGCTGCTTGACGCTGCTGTAGAAGTTCGCGCCCACTCGGGTCAGGCTTGGGGAGGGCTCCTTGGGGCGGCTTTTGAGCCTCATCTGCTCGAAGCCCTCATGGGGGGAGGCCGAGAGCCACTCGTGCTGCCGGATCTCCATCCTGACATGACCGGGCGGCCGCCGGCGAGCAGCGGACTCGGGACGGGCGCGCGGGGAGCCGGGCGCGGAGGGCGAGCGGGAGGCCCAGCGGGAGCCGGAGGTGGAGCTGGAGACTGAGCTGGAGGAGCTGGAGGAGCGAGCGGGCGCGGGGAGCGCGGGGTGCTGAGCGCCAGCTGGGAGCGCGGCCGGGCGGGAGGGGGCGATCGCGGGAGGCGCGGGGCGGAAGGAGGGAGGGCGAGGTGCGGGCGGGGGCGGGGGCGGGGGCGGAGGGGGACGGACGGGGAGAAGGGGGACGAGAGGGGACAGGGAGGGAAAGGAACCTGCTCCGGGGAGACAGAAGTGCCCGGTGCGGCGGCGACGTCGCCCGGCGGCTGCGGTCCCGAGCGGGCGCTCCGCTCGCCGGCTCCTTGCGGCACCTACTGGGACCCGGGCCGGCTCCCGGGGCGGCGGCGGCGGCGGGGGTGGGGTGCGGTGGGAGGGGCCGCGGCTGGCCCAGCCAGCCCGCGCCTGCAGGTTGGTGCAGTGAGGAGCCGCCGCCGCCCCTCCCGCCGCGCCCAGGCCCGGGCGGCCGCGCTCCCGCTCCGCACCCGCCTTTCCCGAGCAGGCTACACCTCTCCCTGGCGCATCTTTACTGGAAAGCCGGCAGGCGAGGGGAGAAGTGAGCGCCGTCTCCGCGCCTCCTCGGTCCTGCTGGCTGAGCGCGGGGATGGCTCCGGAGGGAGACACTCAGGAAACCACCTCCGCCCTTCCCCCATCTCTATCCAGCGGCGCCCCCTCACCCTGCCCCCGGCTCGCTTGGGCTGCGCCTTCCCCCATTCTGAAAGTTCACTAACTTCCCACCCCAAGGGACTTAGAGCAGAGGGTGCCCAGCATTCCCCCCTGAAAATAGCCGAGAGACATGTGTTTTCTGGAGCCGTACACGCTACTTTCATCCGATGGTGTGGCGATGCAAATACGCCCGGGGGCAGTAGCCCCTCGGGCAGGCACGCGGGACCGGTTGCTCCCCAGCCCTCGGTGTCCACCTAGAACCGGGCTCCCCGGGCCGCACCCATTCCGATCCTGGGAGGGTGATCCAGGGCTCCTCTGCAACGCTCCGCTTGTGCGGTGACTGTTCCTTAGGTGGACGTGGCCCAACTGCTGTGCATTTGTTTCTTTTCTCTGTTTCTAGGCCCCTAGGGTCCAGGCTTTTCCTTCGGGGCCCAGCCAAGCGTGATGATTATTAGGAATAGGGTGGCTTGTTCGCGATTAAATCTTCAATCTCTTCATCTTTTGCTATCTTTGGAGTCAACCTCTCGAAACATTTTTTGGTTTTATCTAAATGCTAAACAGCTGGTGTTCAGGGTGTCTCGTGTCTGGTTAAAAGCTTGGGAAGTGTATGGAAGCTGGAGAGGTATACAGGGGATTTTAGAGGGTGTTGCCAAGGGTAAACTGAAGGCTCTCTAGCCCTCGGCAGAACTGCCCTACTTGAATGACGGTTTCAAAGACATTCTGGCTGGGATTTCACAAACTTTTAGGAGGACAGGGATTGTGTTTCATATCTTTTCAAAGTCTCCATTTAAAAAAATGGTATAGTAAAAATAGTAGTTGAAATAAAATCCTGTGCACATTCAATATGGGGATGAAACAACTAAACACAAATACACACATTTTGGTTGTGCTAGGTTGGTTTTCTTAGGAGCTGAACTATATTGTGCAATAGATGCCCCGACCTGTGGGCTATCTCTAAGTCTCATGTTATCCTGCAAGATAAATGTTATTAACCCTCCTTTCCAGTGAGGAAAGTGAAGCAGAAGCAGAAATTACACTTCAAAACAAGGATATGAACCAGATTGAAAAGCTGTGAAGGCCAGGCGGAGTGGCTCAGGTTTGTAATCTCAGCCCCTTGGGAGGAGGAGGCAGGAGGATCACTTGATCCCAGGAGTTCCAGACCAGCCTGGGCCTACACTAAAAATAAAATAAATTAGCCAGGCGTGGTGGTGCTCATCTGTGGTTTCAGCTACCTGGGAGGCTGAGGCGGGAGGATCGCTGAAGCCTGGGAAGAGGAGGCAACAGTGAGCCGATATCGCACTGCACCCTGGGCGACAGGGCAAGACCCTGTCGGAGGTGAGGCTGTGAAAACTATACATTCCATTGTATAGCATCTCTGATAATTTTGTTTGTTTGTTTTGTTTTGTTTTTGAGATGGAGTCTCGCTCTGTCACCAGGCTGGAGTGCAGTGGCGCCATCTCGGCTCGCTGCAACCTCCGCCTCCCGGGTTCAAGCGATTCTCCTGCTTCAACCTCCCGAGTAACTGGGACTACAGGTGCACGTCACCACGCCCAGCTAATTTTTGTACTTTTAGTGGAGACGGGGTTTCACCACGTTGGCCAGGCTGGTCTCTCAAGTGATCCGCCAGCCTCGGCGTCCCAAAGTGCTGGGATTACAGGCACGATCTGATTTTTTTATTATTACACTTTGCCCTACTATTCACTGTCCCCCAGTTTTTACTATTAAAGTTTAGCCTCCATAGCTTATGCTTTCTTTAAAGTATAACCACACAATTTAAATGACGACAAACAATTATACAGTCTTTTATAATATTGTTAACAGAAAGATGTTATTGCCCTTCTGCAAAGAATACCTCTGCCTTTTGCTGTATGAGATTAGGTATTTGATATAGCCAAACCTTGACAAGTGATAGATATCCAATTCAGAGTAATAATGAACTGTTCTACCATAGAAGAATTTAAACAAATGGTTTCCATATTGTGCCAGATTCTCAAAGTAAATAGATTTTTTTTAAACTATACCTTTATAGGACTATACATAGTGACTGCAGTAGTTGCTACTATCTCCTTCTTTTTTTTTTTTTTTTTTTTTTTTTTTTTTTTTTGAGATGGAGTCTTGCTCTCTCACCCAGGCTGGAGTGCGGTGGTTCCATCTCGGCTCACTGCAATCCCCACCTCCCAGGTTCAAGCAATTCTCATGCCTCAGCCTCCCAAGTTGCTGGAATTATAGGCATGCACTATCACACCCGGCTAATTTTTGTTATTTATTTTTAGTAAAGGCAGGGTTTCACCATGTAGCCCAGGCTGGTCTCAAACTCCTGACCTCAAGTGACCTGCCCGCCTCGGCCTCCCAAAGTATTGGGATTACAGGCGTGAGCCACCGCGCCCGGCCAATCTCTATTTTTTGAAGAAGGTACACTGGTGGCATAAATATGACAGCATACTACTGAATTGAGCATTATAATTAATTCATAGATCACATTTGTTATGATCAAAAATACTAGTCAAAATATAAATTTTTACAGTTTCATACTTACTTGGTATGCAGTGCCAGACTCAATGAACCCAACAAGTTCAAATAAACCTGGGCGCAGACTTATTCATAATTATTTTTCTATCTTGGATTCTTGTCCAAGTTAATCGTTTATGCCAGTAATATGGAACTTGCTTGTTGACCTTCAAAAGAATATTTCATATAAAATTGAACCCAACTGAAACTGTTGTAGGGAAGAAAAATAGTGTTTCTGAAGATGGCCAGGTATAATATGAGAATTTTGCACCAAAAATATTACTGAAATGTATAATTACTGAATTTCTACATTAACTTCCACAGCACTTTTTCCAGCACATTTTCATAGCCATTACATTTTCTGAATGCAACACAGGTGTTATGGACCATCCATCCTACTAGCCCATTCGCTTCTTGGGAGCTGGAGCCACTCCTGATTCTTTACCGTGCTGTTAGTGCCTTACATATAATAAGCTTCCAATAAACTATGGTGAATAAATGACTGAATGGGTGCTAACACTTGGCAACATGTTTTTGCTTCTTTATTTTGAAAAACACTGGATTTGACATTACAATATTTAGATTTTAGTACTAGATCCTTTAATTACTAAATTGTGACTTTCATGGTTTTCATTGTATTTCCATAGCCTTCAAGTTCATCCAGTAAATGGGGAATAATCATTGCTACCTCAAGTGATTGCTACAGGGATGACACATGAGAAATTTCTGTATAAACTATAGAGTCCAATGTTACTGTTCTTAGAACTTTCAGGCCCAGAAATATTCTTTATGTCATTCTAATAAGTTATCATTTTCATTAGCAGCTATATCAATTAATCCTGATTGCTTATAATTAATTATAGAAACTGCACTCAGCTACAAATTTGAATTCTATTGAATTCAAACCTAAACTTAACAGATGTCATTGACCAGGAATTGTTAATATTGTCTGAATTAGGCACTTTGCATTGTCATAAAATTTAAGACCAAAAGTATCAAGAAGTGGGAGTATTTTATTAAAACTTTCATAGTAATGATAATACCTTACATTTCCACAATAGTTACATCTGTAGCACATATCACATTTACTCCTTGGAAAAATATCTGAAAGTAGTCTTGGTACTTGCTATCAGTTCCATCTTTCGAAAGGAGGAAACCAAAGCTCATGGAGGTTAAATGACCTGCCCAAAGCCATGTAAGTCAGAGAGTCTGGTCAAAAAGCCAGGTTCATTGACTCTCAATAAAGGATTTCTTTTTTCACCATGTCCGATAAAAAAATCTCAAATATATACTTCTTAGCAATTATAAGTTGTATTTTTCACAGGTGTAGTGTTGCCAAGTATTACTACATTTTGTCAAAGGTTTACTACTGAAGAATAAAACATGTTAATACTTAGACCTTCCCTAACAGCATGCTTTATGTCCTCCTCAATTACCCTTATACTATACAAGACCACATAAAATCATTGACCCAAGAATGGCTCTATTCTTTGTTGTCAAGAAATAGATTCAACAGCTAAAAACAACATGACTTTCCTAACCACATATGTTAATTATAGGATTATTTCTGTAGAAACAATTGAATAATTTAATACCAGTAGAACAAAATTAAAGTAGTCCCAGATTGAAAATGTTTTCTGAAGAATACATAAGCATTAATATGAGAAGGGTCTTTTATGTTACAGTATTTTCTTTAGCCTCGTAGTTATTATTGATTAGTTATAAAATGACAATGAAGGTTTTTTAAATGTTACATATTTAATAAAGTGAACTTATCTATGTACAAACTTACTTTAGACTAAAGATTCTCATTGTTTGACCACCTACTCCAGTCACTGTGTGGGCTGGTCCTCAGAGGCATTATATCACTTTTTTCTCACAAAATCCTGCAAAGTAAACAGAGCCATCCCTATGTTACAGATGAGGAAACAAAGACCCAGAAAGAGTGACCTGCCCAAGAGACACAAGGACCAAGGGGCAACACTATGGCAGAAACTCAGGGTGGCTCAACTCTAAATGCCTTTACACAACACCAAACTGTATGGTCTTGCTTGGGTACATCTCTGCTGGGCTGAGAGCCCCCACAGTGACCTGGAGAGAACTGGGGAGGAGAGGGAGAGGTCAACTAGCCCCCAGAGCGAGATCCTGGTAGAGTGGGTTTATACTGTGAGGTCGAGGGTCCCAATTTACTTACACAAGGAGAACCAAATCAGATGGCACTGGGATCTTCCTTCCTTCCTTCCTTCCTTCCTTCCTTCCTTCCTTCCTTCCTTCTTCTTCTCTCCCTCCCTCCTTCCTTCCTTCCTCTCTCTCTTTCTCCTTTCTTTCTTTTTGAGACAGAGTTTCACTCCTGTTACCCAGGTTGGAGTGCAATGGCACAAACTCGGCGCACCACAACCTCCACCTCCTGGGTTCAGGCGATTCTCCTGCCTCAGCCTCCTGAGTAACTGAGATTACAGGTGCCCAGAGTAACTGAGATTACAGGTGCCCACCACCACACCCAGCTAATTTTTGTATTTTTAGTAGAGATGGGGTTTCACCATATTGGCTGGACTGGTCTCGAACTCCCGACCTCAGGCGATCCACCTGCCTTGGCCTCCCAGAGTGCTGGGATTACAGGCGTGAGCCACCATGCCTGGCCGGCACTGGGATATTTCTGAGAGTTAGAAACCCTGGTTGTCGTGTTGGCTCAGTTGACAATCAACCAGCTGTGGGGACTCAACCAAGATGCTTTACCTAATTGAATCTGTCAAGATGCTATGGTTTGGTCACAAGGTTTGGCCTTGCAGTAGAGCCTTGGACAGATCCATCACATCAACACAGAAAATTAGAAAATGGCTGTCCTAAGAATAAATAAGTAGAAAATAGGATAGTTGAAATAATCTAGCGTGACTAAAAGCTTCTGGTAGGCAACAAAAAAGTCTGAATTCTCCTGACTCAGTGTAGATGGATTAGGTTAATCAGACAGTTGCCTAAGTTGGCACTTCATTTGGCCTTTGTGCTCACAGCCATGGAATTGAGAACACTTCAAAATCACCCAGAATTCTAAATTCCACTTTGATTATCTGAGGTGATCTTTTATGTATCAATCATGGTACCCAGCATAAAGTATGTGCAACTCAACAGTAAAAAAGGAAATATATGAAGATAATATAAGCCACACTGTAATTCTTAATCATGCTTACATTTTTGAAACTGAAACCTAACCTTAAGTCAAGTGATAGGAGAATGATGTGTATTTACTACATTTGGACACCCAGGTAAAACAGACTTTGACTGTAATAGTGGTCATGCTTTTCTTTTATGTTCTTTTGAAAGAATCCATTGTTGGTATTTTTGTACAGTACGTGCCATAAAACTATGTAACACCTCTGACATCACCATTTGTTCACTTGTACTAAAGAGGAATGCAGTGACTCCTTAGATCTTCAACATACCTGACAGTGGGAGTCATTTTTCTACAGCAAATCACTTAAATCTAAGCCAGTGTGCACCATCTCAACCTTTGTTCAAGCTACTGATAGCTTCTGTACACTATACAGTATCTTTTGAAGGCAGAATGTGACATATTCATTTCCTAGCAATGAAATTCAGAAAGCTCAGAGTTAATTTTTATGCTTGGTGGCTAGAACTTTCTTTGATTTTAGGTTTTGTAGGCCAGTGATCCCCTCCTCCCTCCTGATTCAGTGGTTCTAGTTCTTATCCTAGTCTTAATGATGTTATATTTCTGGTCTTTGTTTTTACTTTAAGCCACTCCAATGGCTGAGTTTTAAATGTAGGCAGAGTATAAATAATAGAGGAAGAATTAGTTAACCTGTCATGAACCAAGATTGCCTGACAACATGTCAACCTGATAGATTGGTTTCAAGTTATAAAAACTATTAAATTGATATACAGAGTTGGAAGAGGCACATTAAATATCTTTCATTTCCCTCTTTTAACACTTCTCCTCCAATTATGCTCAGACCACTCCTATTTTTTCCAAAATCATTCATCTTGGCAGTTGATTAGTGCTAGGCCATGGAGACACAAGATAAATAAAACAAAACAAGATGAAAAATTATTTCAGTTTGATCTTGGAGAAGCAGACAAGTGTAGTTGTAACATAGCTACAGGTGCAGGGGAACCTGGGCTGAAGGGTGAGCTGGGGAGAAGATACTGGAGAAAATTACCCAAATGGGAATAAGCTTCTAAAAAGAAAACATGGCTACACATTTCGATGATCTTAGCAAAAGGACAAAGTTTGGTTTTGCTAAATGGAAACTCAAAATTTCAACTTGACAAATATTGAGTTTCTGGTGTATATTTAAGATTTTATAAGTGCCGTGGGGATTCAAAATTCTGAGAAATCATAAATGCTGAGAAAGAGGAATTTACAATTCTATAAATAGACAAACTCTAATGAGACCAGGAGTAGCATAAGATTATGATCAAATGTTAGGATTAATGGTGCAGAAAAGAACGCTAAATCAATAGTTCCCTATCGAGACAGCATTTTATGCTGTTGAAAAACACACATTCCCAGAATTTGAGATATGCAAGCTGGTTTGGGAAGGCAGGTCAAAGTGGTTGGGAAAAGTCACTAAGCAGGAAGTTGGCTCTCAGAGTTGCTTAACAGAATTAAACATAAAATACAAAGTCTTTCTTTAGAAAACAGATACTAATTTACTTGATGCAACTAAGGTATCACTATGGAACAAGATACATACTCAGGGCGTCTTTCCCAAAACTGACCAGTTGGGCCTGATATTCACTTAGATGTAGGGTTATAATTTAGTAATATTCGCAGCTTCAGAATGATACATTGAACTCTGCAGGCTTTAATCTCTTTATTATGAAGGGGCATGTGAGGAATATGCTATATTTAACACTATAGTAAAAGGGCCATGCCATTTCTCTCCCTTTTAATTCTGTTAGCCAATTGACCAATTATTTATTTGACTACTATAGATACATAAGTAAAATTCTAATATAATAAATCATAAGTATACTTAGGATTTTTCCCAAAGATTGTGCAACTTGAATTTTAGTGACACAAAGAAATTGAATTATACTAAACTAGTTGCTAGATCTATGGTTAGCTGAACATGTGTACCTCCTACAATTTTGACACAAGAGTGTCAAAGTCAATGTATGTACCAGGCGGGAAAGGCAACCAAAAGTTTTAGGCTCTCCAAGAAGAAAGCTCCTTGACTTATACTCATCAGAGATCACTGAGTTCACCCCAAGTCATGGATAGGGGAGACTATAAATTCCAGCTGAGAAATCAGTGAAACGAGGACAGGAGAAACCAATGGAGGAGGAACAAGTGACAACTAGAAAACCTGGCCAAGGAGTCCTTTAGCATGTAGGAGAGACAGGAAGACTCGCATATCGCTAAACCAATAACAGATAGGAAAGAAAGGGAGGATAGAACACAAATCAACAAAATTTTCAGACCTCAGCCTGGTCAGGTATCAGCAGCCAAGTAAGAATCTGCTAGGCAATTGCAAGAGAAAAGCTGGTTTTGCTGAGAAGTGGGTCCAATAAATTGAATACAAGTTGCCATAAAACAGTTTTTTAAAAAAGATATGATTGCAACAAGCCGATTGAAGTTGCAAAGAATCATTGCCTTCATTTACAATTTTATCATGAGAAATAAAATGGTATGAGATTTATATAAGCTCTCTTTATGATTTACTCTCTTGCACTCGTCCATGAGAAGAGATAGAGCCTGGCCTGAGATATCACTGTCTGCACATTTCCTGTTCCAGGAGAGTCATGCATGGGCAGAAACCATAGAAGCTACTCAAGAGGAGAGCAAGTCTGAATGTTTTCTCCATGCCAGGTGCTGTGCTCAAAGCTTTGCATACAATCTCATTTAATCCTCACAGCAATCTACTACCATCTCCATTTCATAGTTTAGAAACTGTGGCTTCAAGAGGTGAAGTGAACTGCTCAAGGTCACATAAGGGTAAGTGACAGAATTTGGACTCAAACCCAGGACAGATTTCAAAACCCAGATTCTTATAATGTATGCTACTGTAATAAGTTCATTAAAGGAATGAATGGAAAGCAGTTGTGCACACGATCTCCATTAAACTCACATTAACCTCTTCTTTCCTCCTCATGAAAGATCTGACCTGTCTCGTAGTTCATTTTGGACAGCCTTTAATTTTAAATGGCCCAGTCTAAGAATCACATGCAGTTGAAAGATCCTTCCTCCCCCTGGGAGGTCTGTTTTCGACTTAGGAACCTGCAGTGGAAGAGGGAGGTGCTCCGTCTCCTCCACCATCTGCTGACTGCAGCTTGTGGCCCCTGCAGACCAGGTGCAGGATGAGGAGTGTTGCAGCTTGCAGTGTTGTAGGAAGCAGACGCTGAGATGGAGATAGATGTGCAAGGAGTGCTTTGGGGATCCACATGCGGGGAAGGGATGGGACTAAGGGAGAATCTGAGCAATCTGACTAAAGCTTCATTCAGATGTCCCCACAGAGAGCTCTGGAGCTACGGTGGGCCTTCAGAGTTGCCCTGCATGAGAGGCTGGGGATTCATTTGTTTTCTACGTGAATCAGTCATTGAATGGGCTTCTCGCTTCAGCTGTGACATTGGGCAAGGCAAATTTCTTCAGCTGAGGCAACCCCCATAGAAAGGTAAAGGCTGAGGGCCATCTTCCTGAAGCACTCCTAAAACCTGGGGGAAATGAGTCTTTCTTTCCTGAAAAGAAGTATCTGTTGTATACCACAGCATTCGCCATGGGGATTAAGGGTAAGAGAGAAGAAAAATCTTCCTTGACCAGATGGTAGTCTGGCCCCAATGCTCTTTGAGTATAGCAGATAACAAAGGCTGATTTTTAACTCCCATGGGGTACTTTGGAGGTTCTTCAGAGATCTCCCCAGCAGGCTGACTGCTCATCACTTCCTCTCAGCACCCCTCCTCAGATCCGTCCCTCTAATGGGTCACTTCACCCTCCAACCAGGACCCTTGGGGAAGATCCCTACAAGATGATCAATACCAGAAACCCTCTACTGTGAGCACTTGTAGCCCTTAAGATCAGATACCTTTGTCCCTCAGACTCTGGATGTGCAGACCTTTCCAGTATAGTCCTGATGTTTTGTTCTTCAAGAGGAAGACACCATCTTTCCAACTCTAGACTTCCCCAGAAATACATTAGCTCCCAGATTCTGTGCCCTCCCCCAAACTTCCAGGATCAGCAGTCATGTTTCCAAACTGGTTTTTTTGAAGACCTCTCACAGGGTGTGAGATAATTGAAGAAAACAACCCTTCCCCTGATAATTCCTCACCGCCTGGTCTCCTTAACCTCTCAGTGAATTCTCTGCCTTTTCTGATCTAGTTTAGAAGTAGGTTATGGGCTAATACTGGAAGAACTGATTTTGAAATAGGTTGTTATGAGTGTGGTTTAGCAACTCAGGCATACTCAGCATCTGTGGAATTACCCTCTAACAATGTCTTTGTTGGCTTTCTGAGACTTTACAGCAGGCTTTAACATGCAATCTTCTTTTTTTTTTTTTTTTTTTTTTTGAGACAGAATCTTACTCTGTTGCCCAGGCTGGAGTGCAGTGGCACAATCTCAGTTCACTGCAACCTCTGCCTCCCAGGTTCAAGGAATTCTCCTGCCTCAGTCCCCCCTGGTAGCTGGGATTACAGGCTCACACTATCACGCCTGGCTAATTTTTGTATTTTCAGTAGAGACGGGGTTTCACCATGTTGGCCAGGCTGGTCTCAAACTCCTGACCTCAAGTGATCCACCCGCCTGGGCCTCCCAAAGTGCTGGGATTACAGGTGTGAGGACAACATTCAGTCTTATTAAACTTCCTCTCAAACATATTTGCCCACACTGGTCTGAAAACTCTGTGTGGTTCTAATGTAAGCAATGCTTAATGGTTGCCCACAGCATAGCAGATTCCTCTCCACTTTAGAGATTTATCAAAGTGAGGAAAGAAAAAAGAAAATAAGGGACAGAGAGAGGAAGGGAGGAAAAGAAGGAAGAAAGAAGGGAAGAAAGGGAGAGAGGGAGGGAAGAAGATGTTAAGCAGGGAAAAATTTATTCCCAACAGGTAAATTTTCTTCCAAGCACTATTCCTGCCAAGACTAATGTTATATGCCATGACCAACAGGATCTTGCCAAAATAGTGACCGATAGGACATGACCCAAATGCCCCAGACTGAAAATATTCCCTCTCTACCATGCTATCACTTATTTGATTTAGATGGACCCCAGCTATCAAAGACTGTCCCAAATTGCTTGCTTGCTGAAATCACAGGTCTGACAGAAGTTTCTGCAAACATCACACTTCAGCTAACAACTGGCCTTGAGTATTGACTTTGGGAATGAATCCCTATCTAATCTTTATTTAATTTAATTTATCCCAAATGGTTTCATATTTTTACAACTCAGTAACTCAATGCAGGAAAAAAAAGTGTCAGTGTCTGTTTTTCTAACAAACCATATCCAAATATTCTAATAGTGATTTTTTTTTCAGCTTGACAAAAATGAGGAGCTCAGCCTTTGAACAGTATAAACATGTGTTGTCATGCATGCTTTTTGCATAAGTCCTGCTCTGTTCTCCTCCAGTGTATCCTCTTGGAATGTACCTGGTCATGTTCTCATTTTTCTTTTGAATCCACTAAGGAATGCTTTTGTTTTCTGGCCAGGAATTGCTGGAAGATGGCAGACACAGCCATGCAAGCATTTCTGGTGGTGCAGCAAAAACAGCCCACGTCATGTACTCTGTCATAAAGTGAGCAGGGTTTGCATAGGACAAATACCACATAGTCCCAAGTGTTGACTGTATCTACCTTCTCATCTCTTAAAAAATACACATATACACACATATGTGAGTGTGTTTTCATCCCCTTGTTGTATTTTAAAGATGAAACCATAAGCAGTCTCCCTGGACAGAGATATTTATGTGTTCTTTTCATCTGATGATTTGTCTCCAATCATTTGGGCCCTGCCTTCATGTACACATTTTGGGAACAGCTGAGATCTGTCCTGTACTTTTCCCGGCTGTGATAGCCAATTTTCACGAGGTTACACAGGCCATACAAGGGCAGTATAATCAACACCATAACCCTGTACAGAGACATAAATCTTAAAATACACTAGCAAGAGTATCAATCCAACTGGCAAGGGTGAAAATGGCTTTGAATACCAAGTGCCTATTACTATCACCAAGGAGGATCTGTATGTTTTTGTAGTCTCCACTCAATTCTAATACTTTCTCTGGGGCTTAGCAGAGAATCAGTTCAATTCTCACTGTGAATCAGTGTGTCAGGAACACATAAGACATCACCCTCAGCCTTCTGCCATAAGCAGGTGTAAAGTCAACAAGGATATCTGGCAACATCTTTTCTATATTAGAAAAGAAAAGCCCTTACCTGAAGTACAAAGCATATCATATTATAATTATTGTCAGAAATAGTATGGATGACATTCATGGAAATAGTACTTTATATTTTAAAATGGCTTTTACCTATTAGTCACCATGCACAATTGGATAGCCCAATCAGATATGTTAGAAACTCCCCTCCTCTAAAATAGTAGTTATTGGGCAAAGTATGTAGAGGCAACTGGCTCCACCATATGCCCCTGAACAAAATGTCTTGACTGTCCACTAATCCCACCCAACTGAGAGTTTTGAATAATCCAAGCCTAAACTGGGAAACCCAGTCTCAGTCCTATTGTGACTTTTCCCTCACTGGTCAGGAGGAAGTATTCATTCCCTTGATTGAAAGCTTCCTTTTTGTTACTTCAGCCTTGGTTACAAAAGCACAGATATTTGTATTGATCCATTCATTTCCTTGGCTCATCAGGAAACAACAAATGACAAGGTAACATGCACAACCAGCCTGGGCTAACACCTTGGTAGAGTTGAGAACAATTAGGTGGTTTGCAATAGCCAAATATCTCCAGTTCTCAAGAAGTAAAGCCAAAGAGCAAATATAGCCGAAAGCACTAATCACACTCAAGTAATAACCCCCATCGAGAAGTCACAAAAAAGCAGAGCCTATCTCCTCCTACTCCTCCAGCACAAAGGAGACCCAGAGGAAATCTCTGTCTGTGGTAGCCCAAAGATAGGTCCAGGTAGCAAAGCTGAAACACCTTATTTTTGGGCATCCTTTTATTAATTTACTCAGGAAGCACTTTTTTTTTTCACCAAGCAGCTACCCTGCAAGGTCCCAAGAATTGCATCAATGCTTTAAGTCACTGGAAATTATTGCCAAATAAAGTTGGGGAATTCTCTCTCCTGGTTCTATTTTTTTTTTTTTTTAGACCAAGTCTCACTCTGTCATCCAGGCTGGAGGGCAGTGGTGCAAACTCAGCTCACTGCAACCTTCGCCTCCCAGGTTCAAGGGATCTCCTGCCTTAGCCTCCTAAGTAGCTGGGACTACAGGCATGCACCACCACACCCAGCGAATTTTTTTTTTTTTTTTTTTTTTTTTTTTTTTTTTTAGTAGAGACGGGGTTTTGCCATGTTGGCCAGGCTGGTCTGGAATTCCTGACCTCAGGTGATCCACCTGCCTCAGCTTCCCAAAGTGCTGGGATTACAGGTGTGAGCCACTGCAGCTAGCCTCCCCTGGCTCTATCTTAAAATACTCCCCCTCCTATTACATTTCTTTAAAGTATGAACTGACTAGGAAGAGAAAGAAAAGTGAGTATCACCTTTTGTGCTTTTTGAATAGAAAAAACACACAAGAAGAGCACAAAAAAACACCCATGGGCTGCAATAAAACGATCTAAACCAAGAGTGTACTCTAGAATAAGATGGGAAAGTGGCAATTATATGTCTATGCTTACAGGATCAGGAGATGCAGGATTACAAACTTTGCTGCCAAAGAGTGTGACCATTAATTGAAGAACATAAAGACATCACTATCTTACAAAGACACTGAGTTGCTTACAAAGTCTGCCACCGCCTTGTTGCCCTGCCAGACACCTCATTCCTCTGCCTGTGCCACCGCCTCATTTCTCTCAGGAGATGGAAGGGCACTGGCGGAATGTTATCCTTCTTTACCTCTCTTACTGCACCTCTTGCGGCCTTAACACTAAGAAAGGAGAGAAAACAATCATCATGGTGAGAGCTGATATCCTCCAACAGAAAGGGAAGTGAAAGTTCCCAGCCGGCAGGGATGGAAGAGAGTGCAGTATGTCTATTTCAAATAGCTGCAAGAGAGTGCAGTACGTCTATTTCAAATAGCTGCATACATCATGACTTAGTGTGGAGATAAGCTACTGTTGTATATCCTATTCTCTATAGAACATAAAACATGCAGGGGAAGGAGGAAGAGATAAAAAGGTGAGAAGAGCAGTCGCAATTTCATGATTGGTATCAGATGATGTTTTACATTATGTTAAGTTGACTGAAGGGAGTGATAGATTCTGCTTCCACTTCCTAGAAATAACTCAAGGGATGAAGATGGCTGTTTGAAAGAAAAAGGCAACAAAGACTATATGCCTGGAACAAGCTTATCACTTAAAGATATTCAGTCTCTCGGAGTAGCTCTTTCTTAGATGTGTATGTGTCTCTCTCTCTCTCTCTCTCTTTCTCTCTCCCCCTCACCACCATCCTCTCTCTCTCTCTCTCTGTCTCTCTCTCCTTTTTGATATTATTAGAACAATATAGGAATCTGAGGATTTTAAATCTCAAGACTTTCATTGTCTCCTTCAAGTCCCAAAGCTTAGAATACTTTTCGAAGATCTTTCTTTTCACTGATAAATCATTTCTTTGTATTTGCCTCTGCCTGTCTTCTTGTTCCTATTTGCAGACCTTCAGGTTGGCAATTTGAACTCCATGGGCAGGCTCTCCAGAGAAAAGGAGATGAAATTATTTTAAGAGAGTCAACAAAAATCCTTTGGTAAAAATACTTCAAAAGGGATTCCCTTTTGAAGGGATTATATTGCTTATATCCTGGAGTCCTCGTGGGGATACAAATGACACCTAAGAAATTACAATCATTTACCAAAAGAGCTGCACAAACATCTAATTTTGTGACTTATCAGGAAAGCACAGAGCAATGTGTGAATATAGACAGTGTGAAGTCAGCTTTAAGTGGTAGCATTTATTTTTAGAGTTAATCACAGTGTTATGGTCCACTTGGACAGGACATACATATCAAAAATTTAATACTATGATCATATCATAGTAAGTAATTCATTTATCTTAGTTTGAATGTAATAGTTTGCCAAGTCAGGACTCAATCATGAGAAATATTAGAGTTCCAACTCTAGGGATGTTTTCCTTGTAGAATCTTATTATTTATTTATTTATTTATTTATTTATTTATTTATTTATTTTTGAGACAGAGTTTCACTCTTGTCACCCAGGCTGGAGTGCAATGGCATGATCTCAGCTCACTGCGACCTCCATTTCCTGGGTTTAAGCGATTTCTCCTGCCTCAGCCTTCCAAGTAGCTGGGACTACAGGCAAGTGCCGCCACCACACCTGGCTAATTTTTGTATTTTTAGTAGAAACGGGGTTTCACCACGTTGGCCAGGCTGGTCTGGAACCCCTGACCTCAGGTGATCTGCCCGCCTCGGCCTTCCAAAGTGCTGGGATTACAGGCCTGAGCAACTGCACCTGGCCTTCTTTGTAGAATCTTATTCACTTAGTTTCGTAGACCGTGTAGGCAGTGTTGTGCTGGAGCCAGCTGTGCACATGTCTTCCCAATGCCACATTCAGTGACTACAGGTTGGAAACTTGAAATCAGCAATGATGAGATTATTTACACCATGGAAATCAGCAAATACTACAAATCAGGGCTTCCCTCCATCACCCTCAGAGTTGGCTGTTAATGATACACCAGTCACTACTACATAGGGGAAAAGAAAGAAGAGATAAATGTGGCTCATTTTCCTACTTCATTACAATGCAGCAATCCTATTTCATCAAAACATTAGTTCATGTTTTGCATAGATGTGGGTAGAAACCAGCATGTTGTTGATCTGGCTAAAAGATTTGCTGCTTATGCAAATGAACAAGAGAACAGATACTCTCTGGGCTACTATGCTGTTGATAAGAATATTAAATGGCCATAGCATCTACCTTGCCTATCGCTATGCAGGGGAATCAGTAAAAGAGAGGAGACAGTGTAACTATTGCAAGCAGTGCCACCTTGACTTCCTGAGAGCCAACACTTGGCACCACATGCTCGGGTTCCCATCGCTGTGTGTGCAGGAGATGCCATTTCTCAAGACCCTGTATCACCGCACATTAATGGCACACTATTTGCACCTTGGTTTTTAATCTCTTCCATTTTCTTTGAAAATAAACTCAGAGGCTCATAGATGCCACCTCTCTCCTATTAGCATACATCACATCAACAATCTCTAGCAATGCTCCAATCTCTTAGCTCTTTTACATGAAAACACGTAGGCATTTGGAAACCAGAGAGACAAAAGATCAGCGTCTTGGAATGGAATTGGCAAAATGGACAAAGCAGAATTCACCAGTGCTTTTAAGAGTGATCTGTAAACAGAAGAAACTACAACTGTATTTGGCTTCTAAGAGATGGAAAAATAGCCCAGGAAGGGAGAGACTAGAAAGGTTGAGGGCAGGTGATGGTTTAGAGGCCACAGGGAGATGAGCAATTATGATTTATTTGACCTGGACACAGCTATCAGCAAAGGAAAACCTGATATCACACATGCACTTTGTCTGAAACTCAACAAGCCAGCCACTCTCCTCCCTAGAAGTCCCACTGGAAACAACTACAAGCAGTGTGTCTTCACAGATGGCTCCCAAAGCACACCTCTGGCTCAGTTACTGTTAGTCATTTTAGTGAGTAGTTTGGGATTTGCTTTATGTGCATGAACAAAAGAGGTTTTTTTTTTTAATTTTTTTTCAGTTTTGCAAAAGCTAAACCTTGAAATTCAAGGACAGTGAAATAGCTCTCATCTATTCTCTTTCTTTATATAAAACCTGCATCCCTCCATTTTTTCTCATTTGCCTACTCATGTGTGATCCTCAGCATATGCCATCTTGTGTAGATTCAAACACACATCCTGTCTTGTGTGTGTGTGTGTGTGTGTGATGGGGTATGCTCTGTCATATTCATTTTATACTTGATGGCATAGGGTCTCACTAGCACAGCATCTTGTTGCGTGCTCATAAGCAGTGCTAATTTAATCTTATTTTTACATTTTTGTGAAACTTTTTCCATCTATTATTAATTAGATAAATATATTAGGCATGTAGAATTAGGGTCTGCATTCATTTATTATATGAATTCAATAAAATTATTATCCTACAGGTCCTATGATGGGGAACTTGTAGGGTTTTTTGTTTGTTTGTTTGTTTGTTGTGGTGGGTTTTTTTATTTTATTATTATTATTATTTTTTTTTGAGATAAGGTTTCACTCTTGTTGCCCAGGCTGGAGTGCAATGGTGTGATCTTGGCTTGCCACAACCTCCACCTCCCGGGTTCAAGCAATTCTCTTGCCTCAGCCTCCCGAGTAGCTGGGATTACAGGCATGCGCCACCACGCCCGGCTAATTTTGTATTTTTAGTAGAGACGGGGTTTCACCATGTTGGTCAGGCTGGTCTCGAACCCCCGACCTCAGGTGATCCACCCGCCTTGGCCTCCCAAAGTGCTGGGATTGCAGGCATGAGCCACCACACCCGGCCTGGAACTTGTAGTTTTTAAAGAAGGCCTTACTATTTCTTATAGCCATTATATGGCTTATTAATATCATAAACTCCTGACACTCTGCTTGGCATATAGTTGATTCTCAGTAAATGTTCATCTCTTTTCATTCCTCTGATGACCTCAGGTTGTACAGTTAAGTTTGTTCTCTCATTTCCAATGTTCTCTATTGCATGTGTCTGCGGGCAGGGTAGGCAGAAGATCAGAAGATACTGTACACACATGCGCCCCTTGCCCACATACACCACCCTTTCCCCACCTCTTGTTCATGACCATGGAGAGCTCCAGCACAAGGGCAGTATAGTATGAAGGTTAGATGATGGGCTCTGGAGTTAAACAGATCTTATTTGAATCCTGGCTCTCTTGCTAGTTTGTCTTGCTTTCAACAGGTTATCTGTCTGAGCCTCAGTTCCCTCATTGGTAAAATGAGGATGCCTCAGGAGGGTGGTGGCAAGGATTAACATAACCAGGCATGGTGGCACATGCCTGTAATCCCAACCACTCAGGAGGTTGAGGCAGGAGGATCTCTTAAGCCCAGATGTTTTGGGCTGTAGTGAGCTATGATGGTGCCATCATACTATAGGCTGGGCAACAGAGTGAGACCCCCATCTTTAAAAAAAGTTTTAAAATTTTGTTTTTTTAAAAAAGTTCTCATAGCTGATATAGGTAAAAGCCTTGGCACTTCATTACAAATGGTCATTGTTATTCAAACTATTTTTAGAAGTTTTCCTGTGTAGCCAGCTCACTGAGGATGGCCCATTTCACTGTCCCCTCACCTTGGTACTCCAGAGAGAAATAGAGAATGAGTTGGACAATGAGGTTAAGGGTCAAGTAGAAAATCTAGGGCATTCTAAATTTGAACTCAAAATCTTTTTTGTGTTCGTGTTCCATGCCCCTTTCCTGGTTCCCAGAGGCCCCTCTGCCTTGAAATTTATTTTCTCCTCTTATATCCAATGAACTCCCCTCCTGCAATCCCCGATACACATACCTCAGGTTACCCCACCCAGTTCTGTTCTATCTCCACCCTTCTATGGGATTTAAAAAACCTCTGCTATCTTTGCAGAAAAACTCTATTTTTATCTACCTCTGACACCCTCAAATCTGTATCTGTCATACAACCTTCTCAGCTAAGGTTGGATATCTAAAAGCTCCTGGGCCACCCTGGGGGATAGATGGATCTGCAGAGATAAACTATAGGTCTCCACTTCTTGCAAACTTTAACGGGCAACTATAACTCATTATCTGTCTCCCTTAGAAATTCTATTAATGAATAGGAGGTGCAGGGAGACAGTCTTCAGCTCAATATAAGAAATTTCTACATTTATAGATTGATTTGGGGGTGGGGATTATAGTTCCCCAACAATGAAAACATTTAAGCACAGGCTGAGAGACCACTACTATACAGATTTACATATTGGGAAGAAGAATCAATGAGATGACAAACCCAAATACAATGATTCTATTAAAATTTCATGTTATTTTGACATCATGATTATTGCAATATTTTAAAATTCAAAATTTTAGACAGGGTCAGGTGCAGTGGCTCACTGTAATCCCACCACTTTGGGAGGCCGAGGCAGATGGATCACTTGAGGTCAGGAGTTCAAGACCAGCCTGGCCAACATGGTGAAACCCCATCTCTATTAAAAATACAAAAATTAGCCAGGTGTGGTGGCAGGCACCTGTAATTGCTTGAGCTTGGGAGGCAGAGGTTGCAGTGAGCTGAGATTGTGCCACTGCACTCCAGCTTGGGTGACAGAGTGAGACTTCATCTCAAAAAAAAAAAATTATACGAAAGTGAGATTGTCTGTCTGACACACAACACACACCATCCAGACTTGGCATTCCTTTTGCAGTTTGAATAAGGGCGCAATGGCAAGACTTCAGTTGCATCAAGACCTTCCAATTTTATTTTCAAAAAGAGCACTGCAGAACAATCAGGGCAAACTCAGAGATTAACTGCAGTTCTTCATTTAGTTAATCCTCTTTATCATGAGAAAGCAGTTCTGCCACTTCCCTTGGAGATTGAACAGGGACATTTGTTAATAAAAATCTACTTTGCATGTTCCTGTTGCATAAATCCATTACTGAAGGCCAACTTGATTTGAATGACAGGAACCTGCCCACGTTGTGAATGGATTCAATAAACTGGAACACTCTTACCTTGGAGAAAATAGAAATCCCAATGTTGAGTGCATATTTGGAATCAGTCTAGTCTCCTGGGAAGAGCATACTTTATTACTATGTCTTCAGTTTAAAACTCATCGTTCATTTGACACGCGAATCTTTATTCCCAGGATTTCTTCAGTCTTCTACAATTTCCATGCAAAATATGATTCAGCAGCACTCATTGAATGCTTGCTAGATACAAGTCACTGTAGTAAGCCTTAAGGGGGAAGAGAAAAATCAGAAATAGAAAGCTGAGTAAGACATGGTTCCTGCCTTAAGGAATTTAAAATCCACTGGAGGAGGAAGTAATGGCTAATACTGTCAGTTATATTATTATTTTCCGGATTTAACATAGCTTACTCAAGGGTTGTAAATATATATATATATATATATATATATATATATATAGAGAGAGAGAGAGAGAGAGAGAGAGAGAGAGAGAGAAGAGAAAAAAATCTTAAGAAAGGAGGCTGGAAGAAATGATTGCAAATGCCAGTGGTCATTATGCTAGGGCACTCCAATTCAGAGAGGTTCATTTTTTTTTTTTACATTTTCTTCAATAAGATTATAATTCTTTAATAATACATAAAAATACATTTCAATTTTAAAATTATTCTAGAGTACTTTTTGCTCTCCACTAAATTTGCTGTTGTGTCTTTAGGAATTTGCCTTGAAGGACAAGGAAATATAAAATTAAAATCAACATCAATATGAATAGAATTTACAAAAATAATAGGCTTCCATATGGTGGTATAGGTACCTACATACAAACATGCAGACATATATACATCAGTGTATATATGGATGCATACAAAACACATATAGATGTCACACACATACGCACATGCATACATATGTACATACACATATTCATTGCCCACTCTAGACTGTTCACAAAATGATCATGGGTGTTTTGGTTTTCTGTTCTTTGGGCCTTTTACTATTCTAATGTTTGGAAAGACAGAAAGTGACCAACTATCCCAGCCCATGTTTAATAATACTGGCAGCTGTGGTGGAGAGTAAAGAATACTTGACTGGTGAGCCCCAGCTCTGGGTTCAGATACCGACTCCACCGTTCATTACTTCTCCCTCTCCATGGGTGTATGGAAGCTTCTCAGTGCCTTTCCTGAATAGTCTCTGGGGGGATGGAGGGATCTGTTGCTGATACCAGTCAAGGCCAGTCAGTTGCCTAGATTAAGGGCGAAAAAGGGCTGGGTGAGGTGGCTCACGCCTGTAATCCTAGCACTTTGGGAAGCCGAGGCAGGTGGATTGCCTGAGCTCATGAGTTCAACACCAGCCTGGGCAACATGGTGAAACCCTGTCTCTACTAAAAAAAAAAAACAAAAAAAATTAGACATGCATGGTGGCGGGCGACTGTAGTCCCAGCTACTTGGGAGGCTGAGACAGGAGAATTGCTTGAATGGGGGGGCGGGTGGAGCTTGCAGTGAGCTGAGATCGCGCCACTGCACTCCAGCCTTGGTGACAGAGCAAGACTCTGTCTCAAAAAAAAAAAAAAAAAAAAAAAAAAAACAAATGAAAAAGAAAAAATTGAGAAGTACTTTGGCCTCTCTTGACCTCAGAGAAAGTCTTTGAAAATCTAGTCCATCCCCCTAGCCCCTTGTAGATAACACCCTGAGACCCACATATTACAACTGCAAACACTGCGTTTGTTCTCATCATCTGAACCTCCATTGCCCACCAATGAAGGGTGTTTCCATGGCACAGTTACACCAAACATTGGGTGCGAACAAATAATAGCCACTAAAAATAGCTATTTTTCAAGGATCCATTATGGGTGTAGTCCTTACTGCCATCATTTTATTTACTACTGACGAGAATCCTCCCAGTTAGCTATTATTTTATTTTGCAGATGTAGAAACTGAGGTTCAGACAGCTAGTTAAAAAGTGCAATAATCAGTGTATCTATCTGGCATTGTGCTGCATGCCAGAAGAATCAAGGGCAGACTGACCCATGGATAAAAAATGACGCCAGAATTGGCTAGTTTTAGGGCTCAAGGAGGGCTCTGCTGAAGTTTGATCTGCTTTTCCCTTTGCCAAAAGACCTTTACATCAAAGCAAGGAGATAAATCTACTCTTGCAGCAGCTCTAGCCACAATGAATTGGTACAAAGAGAGGAGGAAGAGAGGCTGAGAGGAAGGGGACACCCTTGCAAACTTTTAGCCTTTTAACCAGAATCAAAACTTCAGTCACTGGATACAGATCTTTGCATAAATTTAGTAAAGTTCATTCTGTGAGCCATATCCAACCACATCCTTATTTGCTCTAGTGACCGCACACCCAAGTCTTCTGGCTTCAGTACATCCTAATCCTTCTCTTCCATGTGCACGAGAACCTACTGAGACCAAAGTTGCTATGAATGTCAAAACATTAGCTGGTATAAAATCACTTTGAAAATTTAAGATAGAAGATGGCATAGGATAATGAAATTTGAGGAATTAAAAACAATGCGAGGAGGTCCATATCATTCTTGGATTATGAAGTGGTAGGGCTCATCATCTGTCCCCTCAGGGTTAAGCAAGGCTGCAATATGTACAGAGACAAACGCTGCATGGGAAGCTCTGTGGGAAGCCACAGAAACCTTGTAGTGAACCAACCCTAACTTCTCCCAAACCCCAAACACTCCACCACCACCACCAACACCACGCCAAGGTGGTGAGTGAAGGCTGCATTGCCAAGCTCTGACTAATCATGATAAGATAATGGGTTGGACTTCTGTGCCTAATCCCCTTTGTTCTCATTCCATGAACATTTAGTCCCCAAAAGTGCAACGGTCACCTATTCCAGATGATTTCATTACCATTTAAGTCATACTATAGTGTGTTCAGGGTCCCTGTTCCTATTGACCAAATCTTTAAAGTACTCAAGCTGACTCAGCACCTGCAGGGAATAAAATTTCTGGAATATGATGCATTGGAGATGTAAGGGACTGAGAATGAAAACCACATCCCAGTGCTATAAAGATGGTAGATGGCTTACATTATATGGAGTATCTCTAGCTTTGTTTCTTTTAAAATGAATGTGTTAGCCTATAAATTAAAATGACCAAAGGAAGAGACTTTTTTCTCTCTTATCTTTTCACCCTGTCTTGAGTATATTGGTGGGAATAATAAGATTAGTCAGGTCCTAAATGTCATGGTGAAAGATTTACGACCTCATCCAACATTCTGATTATTCTCTATCCCACAAACTGAAGAGAGCCTGTGCCTCGTTATCTATCCAGTGGATGACAGGAAGACATAAATAAACGTTTTATTTCCATTCTTGTCAATGTAATATTGGTAAATGTAAGTTTCACCCTGAACCAGGGAGTTAATAGTTAATACCTATGTTGTAATTTGTAGAGGTAATCATAGTAGCAAAGAGTATGAAAAT